>NC_000001.11:228759879-228911394 GCF_000001405.40 Homo sapiens | reverse complement strand
AGAGGATCAAGTGCTGGAAAGGGGGAGGGGGAGAAAGCCCCCTGAGGGACGGGGGCTGGACTTCGGTGACAGATCACCACAATCACCGCCTTTAAAGAGAGGGAAGGGTAAACAATAAAAATCTATATTTCTGATGAATAAAACACAACTGGACTCGCGTTGGGAAGGTGAAATAATGAGAGAGGCCTTGGCAGGTTTGTAAACTGATGTGTTTCTGTCGCACGGCTCTGGAATTGCTGAGTTGCCCCCCAGTGATAGGAGCCCCTGGTGCTGATTTTCACAATCAGGTTTGTGTTACCCCAATGTTAACTCCCAGAGAGGGAGAGCCCCAAAGCCATCTGGAGAAGGACTTTGCACTTTTCTGTATCCAAAAGTTGAACAGAATTGGCCTTTCTTAGAGAAAAACAAAAATTTAACAATGTTTTATAGCATCAGCATTTTAAATTAAAATGTAAGATATAAATAGAGAAAAGTACACACATCATAAATATACAGTTCAAGGCTGGGCACGGTGGCTCACACCTGTAATCCCAGCACTTTGGAATGTCAAGGCAGGTGGATCACTTGAGCCCAGGAGTTTGAGACCAGCCTGGGAAACATAGTGAGACCCTGTCTCTATAAAAAATAAAAAGTTATCTAGTTGTGGTGGTGTGTGTCTGTGGTCCCAGCTACTTGGGAGGCTGAGGCAGGAGGATCACTTGAGCCTGGGAAGTTGAGGCTGCAGTGAGCTGTAATCACACCACTGCATTCCAGCCTGGGTGACAGAGTGAGACTCTGTCTCTAAAAGTAAAATTAAAAATAAACAAACAAATAAATAAATACACAGTTCAATAGGTACACACAAAGTCAACACACTGAAGAAACCAAAAACAATATAGAAATGCAACTGAGAGGGCCGGGCATGGTGGCTCACGCCTGTAATCCCAGCACTTTGGGGGGCCAACGTGGGCAGATCACGAGGTCAGGAGTTCGAGACCAGCCTAGCCAACATGGTGAAAACCCATCTCTACTAAAAGTACAAAAGAAAATCAGCTGGGCATGGTGGTGGCCACCTGTAATCCCAGCTACTCAGGAGGCTAAGGCAGGAGAATTGCTTGAACCTGGGAGGCGGAGGTTGCAGTGAGCCAAGATTGCACCACTGTACTCCAGCCTGGGTGACAGAGAAAGACTCCATCTCAAAAAAAAAAAAAAAAAAAAAAAAAAAAGAAATGCAACCGAGAAAGAGAACACAGGGCCTTCCCTGTATCCTCTTCCACTCACTGCCTCCCTCCTCACTGCCTCGTTTAATTAAGGTAACCATGATCTTAGCCTCTAATACCACAGAGTACTTTTTCCTCTTTCTGAACTTTACCTAAATGGAGTCACACAGTAGGTTCTCTTTTATTTCTGGTGTGTCATGCTCACATTGTATTTGAGCTTCCTCCCTGTTTTGGTTTGGCAGTCATTTGTCCATTTACATGGATGTGTGGTATATTCCCTTGGATGAATGTACTGCAGTTTATTTATCCATTCTACTGTTGATGGAAATTGGAATTGTTTCCAGTCTTGCTACAAACATTCTTATCCATGTCATTTGAAACATAAATAAGTATTTTGGGGGAATATTTCTAGGAATGGGATTCCTGGATCATAGGGTATTTGTAAGCTCAGCTTTAGTAGACACTGCAAACCAACCAAACCAACTTAGTATTCAATTAAGGGTATAGTACTCTTTTTAACATTTTCCTATTTTTATTGTATTTGTTTAGTTGACATAACAATTGTACATATTTATGGGGTACATAGTGGTGTTTTGATACCTAAAGTGATCAGATCAGAGTAATTGGCATGTCTACCATCTCAAACAATTATCATTCTTCATGCTGGGAACATTTAATATCCTCCTTCTAGCTATTTGAAACTATAGTGTATTACTGTTAACTATAGTCATCCTACAGTGCTATAGAATGCTAGAACTTACTTCTATCTAGCTGTAATTTTGCATCCTTTAAAATCTCTCCCTATCCATCCATTACCCCTGCCCTTTCCAGACTCTAGATCCTCTGAGCTTTTTGAAATTGAGTGAAATACAAAAGGAAAGACAATGTATAGTCCCACTCTCCCAGAGTTTCCATGTGGTCAAGGGATCCACTTGTGAAAGAGTGAAGAGATATTACAACTTATTTGATTGGGCACCAAATTGAGATAATTGATACCAAGTGTCATAAGATCAAAGTCACAGGTAGGGGAGAATGCCAGGCCTCTTTCCCCGACAACAGTGGGGAAACTGCCTTTACAGGGACATGCCAGTCCCCAGGCTCATGGGATTCATCTCTTCTGCGATATCCACCCCTATAAGGGGCTTGCTCTTTCACTCTGCTCCTTCTCTGCAGCAGCTTCGTCTCTCTGCTTTTGATTCCCACCACATATGTAGAAGGCCTCAGAGTCTATGAACCAGGTACTGTCAGACAGAACAATAATAAAATAACAACAGAGATTTTTTTCTTATAGAAATTTCAGCCGAGTTATTTGAAACCAATTCTCCCCATGAAAACGACCAAAGCTCTAATTTAAATATTCTAAATGTCTCCTTAACAGTGTCAAATAGCTGACAAAATTGTAGGAAACTCCCAGGCCAAAGCCTATGGTGAGGGGAAACAGAGAAACAAGAGGAGAGGAGAAGCTGCTTCTGCCCGACGTCCTTTGCCAAGCCAGGCAAGCCTGGCCTTCAGTTTTAGCAGCTTTGAGGGGCCAGAAGTTAAGGCCCAGTGCTGACCAAAGGAGGGAAGTCTAACAGGATACCTTCTCCACATAAGCTGGGATTCCAGAGGTCTATACAGCCTAAGGACAATGGTGAACTAGAAATAAAACCACCTCACTTTCCACCTGTACGAGGCTGCAGGTAAGGTTCTCTTGGTGATCATCAGAGCAAAGGAAAAATATCAGAAAAACAATAACAGCCCCTAAGGAGTTGTGATCACAAGGTGACTCTCATAAGGATGTGCATCATAGCCTCACATCACCTGGGTGGTACAGGAAACCTTTAATTATGAATTTATTTTAAAGTAGTCCCAGGCTGGTAGTGCCTTCAGGTGTCTGGGAGAATGAATCCCAAATTCTATTATGGATAAATAGTTTCTCAACATCGGCCTATAAATACTTTTACAAGGACAATGAGCAGTACACAGTCAAAAATAACCAAGCACACAAGGAAACAATTCATCATAGACAAAAACAACTGAAAGAATAAACAGAACAAATATTCCTCTAATACTTAGATATGGGAATTATCAGACAAAGTCAAACTGATGCTTACCATGTTTAAAGAAATAAAACAGGCTTAAAAATAGTGGCAGATAACAGGAATCTATAAAAAGTGACCTAGTATATTTTTACAAAAACAAATAGAACTTCTAGAAATAAAAATACAGTATCTAAAAGTTAAAATTCCTTTGGTGGGTTTAATAGCAAATTAACACAGCTAAAGAGAAAATTATCATATTTCATAAGATCCGAGACAGTATTGATTATAAGATGCACTGTTATTTTATGAACACTAAGAAAGAAAACAATGTTGTCAATTAAACTGTGGCACAATGCTTTTTTATTAGAAATTTTAGTTTGCGCTTACTGAAAGAGCTCTTTTAGACTTATATTTTTAAACTCTGTGCCTAAATAGAACCCTTATGCAGACATAAAAGGGAAAATATGATTAAAATGAACTGGTTTAAAATGTTCCTAAAACTTCTTCACAGGCAGAGTCTGATTCTTCCAAGTCATTTTTAACTCAAAGTTTCATTTGTGTTTTTTCCTTGCTGTTGAGATGCAGCACTTCTCACAGTGCCCCATGACTGTTTCCAGGATCTTCCAGGGCCCTTATCCCCATTCTGTGAGGTTTGATTCTGGTGCTTTTGTGGCCCTGCCAGACATGGCCAATTAATAAAAGGTTTTCCGCTGAAATGCAATTCCATGAAAAGGTTTTGGATATTAACTAGGGCTCACTTCTATCCTTCCCCAAACTGTGCGTGTTTGTTGACTGAAATATCAAAGAACTGCAGTGGTCCAATCCTGCTGCCACAAGTAACAACCATGTTCATCTCTGGGCAGACGATGACTGTGATTTTAAAACAACATCAGTTGTAAGACACAGCGCTATTTCAGTATGTTAAAGTGTGAAAAATATATACAGTTGGCCCTCGGTATCCACAGGGGATTGGTTCCAGGACCCTCTCAGATACAAACTCTGCAGATGCTTACGTCCCTTATATAAATGGCATAGTATTTGCATGTAACCTGCACACATCCTCCCATATGCTTTAAATTATCTTAGATTACTTCTCATACCTAATACAATGTAAATGCTATGTAAATAGCTAGCATATGGTAGTACTTTCTTTGCATTATTTTTAATTGTTGTGTTGTTATTTTATTTATTTACTTAGAATATTTTCATTTGTGGTTGGTTGAACCCACAGAGGCTGAACCCATTGATATGGAGGACTGACTGTAGATATCTCAAATGGGTAAAGAATGGTAGATGAAGACCTGCTCCCAAATATTTGGTGTCTCTTTATTTCTACTGCTGCCAGTCTAAGGGGCTTTCAACCCTTTCTGTTTTATGATTCCACCTCCCCAGCCTCACTTCCCCTGCTCTTCCAGTTCTGGGCTGCCCCCAGGTGCTCAGAGTTCTTGGTAGCCCTCCTCACTCCACCCTGACCTCCTCTGTTGCTCCTCTCGCCACCGGCTCCTAGCCCTCTGCTGTTGGCACTGCCTGGGCATAGCCCTCTTACTCCATGCAGTCAGACTCTCCTGAGGCCAGGTCTTCCCGGGGTGCTTATTAGATGAAGACCTTGTGGAGCTTCATTCGCTCTTTGGTACTGAAGGCAAGCTTTAATGCACAGACGAACATTTTATCAAGTGGTAGTCACGAACTGAGTGCCTTTTGGCCAATAAATGTTTGTTACATTTCTGCTCTTGGGGCCTGTGAGAAGAGTTCCTAAAAGGATCATGCAGAGAGAGCTGAGACACTCACTTTGTCCCTGTCCTCTGGGAACATTCATCAGAGCGCGCACTCAGCCATGAGAACAGGGCATGACCACATGAAGGGGTTTCGTGAAGTTCTTGAGCAATGTTTGAGACAGTGTGTTTAAATTTTAATATTATATTCGGCAGGTCTGGTCAAAAAGATTCATAATAGCATTTCAACTATAATTTCCCCCCCTTGCAATTCATACAGCCTTCAATTTTTCACCATAGGATAGCTTATCTTTTCATCTTTTCAGGGAAATAGGATCCCACACACCAGACTGTTTGTATAGAATTATGCAATACAGCCCTCATAAATTTTGAGAAATTTGCTTTTACATATCATTTACATATTGTTTCTATCCAAATGAAGTTACTAAAGATTTCTATTCATCCTTAGGGAAGGGAAGCATGGTTTTTCCATTGGCCAGTCTTCCTAGAGAATGAAAAGTTATTTGCAAACCCTTCCCCTGCAGCAGCCACAACCCCAAAGCAGCTTCCTTAGCCATGAACGCGCTTGGAGTTTGATGGAGTGACATGAATGAAAGGCTTAAGGTTTGTGTATTAGTTGTCTACTGCTGCTGCAACACATTCCTCAAACCTGGTGGCCTCAACAATACAAATTTATTATCTTACAGCTCTGGAGGTCAGAAGTCTGACACAGTTCTCATTGGGTAATAGTCAAAGTTTTGATCAGGCTGCATTCCTTTTGGAGGCTCTAGGGGAGAATTCTTCTTTCTCTCTTCCAGTTTCTTTTTTTTCTTTTTTTTCTTTTTTTTTTTTTTTTTGAGACAGACTCTTGCTCTGTCACCCAGGCTGGAGTGCAGTGCTGTGATCTCTGTCTTGCTGCAACCTCTGCCTCCTGGGTTCAAGCTATTCTTCTGCCTCAGCCTCCTGAGTAGCAGGGACTACAGGTGCCTGCCACCATGCCCTGCTAATTTTTATACTTTTAGTAGAGATGGGGTTTTGCCATGTTGGCCAAGCTGGTCTTGAACTCCTGACCTCAGGTGATCCACCTGCCTCGGCCTCCCAAAGTGCTGGGATTACAGGCATGAGCCACCGTGCCTGGCTGCCCTCTTCCAGTTTCTAAAGGCTGTCCCCTTCCTTAGTTCTGAACACATTCCTCTATCTTCAAAGCCAGCAATGCTGCATCTCTCTGATCATTCTTCTGTATCACATCTCCCTTCTGCCTTCCTCATCTACTTTTAAGAACCCTTGTTCTTGAACAAGGACATTGGTCCTACCTGGATAGTCTAAGATAATCTCCCTACCTTAAGGTCAGTTTATTAGCAACCTTAATTCCATCTGCAACCTTAATTCCCCTTTGCCATGTAACATAACATAGTCACAGGTTCTAGAGATTTGGGCACAGATATCTTTGGGGAGCATTATTCTGCCTACCACAGTCTGGATAAGGTGAGAACTGGCCAGATCATGGAGAGAACAGCAACCTCAGAACTGCTTTCTGACCCAAATACAACACATAGGGAATGGCTGTGAGACAATTCCCCCTAGGGATATTTGCTGACCATAGAGAACCTATATAAGCGACAGTGGTTATCTGTCTCCATGTATACGATGTCCAGACCCTACTGGTCCCCCAGGATATTTCATCTCAAACAGACATATCCAGCTCAGTGTGTTTCATACTTTCAGCATAGTTTAAAATGTGGGGAAGAATTCCTCCTGGAACTCAAAGGGGATAAATGTTGGGGGATTAGTGAGAATTTCTGAAATTGGGAAAGTTAAAAGTTGGCAAACTCCTTTATTATTCACATTAGGCTTCAACTTAGCAACTTACCAAGATTGCCTTGGGCCTCCATGCCATCCTATTCACTGTGAAGTGAGCATGGCCAATCTGGTTTATTTATTTTTTAGGGGCAGGGAGGGTCTCATTCTGTCATGAGGTTGGAGTGCAGTGGCCCATTCATAGTTGCTGCAGCCTTAACCTCCTGGGCTCAAGTGATCCTCCCACCTCAGCCTCCCTGGTAGTTGGGACCACAGTCATGCACCGCCACGCCTGGGTAATTTTTAAATTTTTTGTAGAGATGGGGTTTTCACTGTGCTGACCAGGCTGTTCTCAAACTCCTGGGCTCAAGTGATCCTCCCACCTCGGCCTCCCAAAGTGCTGAAATTACAGGTGTGAGCCACCAAACCCCGCTCTAAACCATTTTATACTCTGATTCATCAGCATTGAGTTGCACAGAATACAATACACTCTCGCTAGTTTAAGCGGAGAAGAAATATTGAGGGTGTGAAATAGTTTACAGAATCATTGGGAGAGCAGAGGAAACAGATTTGAGGCTAAGCTTCTAGGAATTACATCCAAAGCCACATTGCAGGACTGGTGGCCAAAGTCACCAAAGTCACCACAGTCCCCACAGTCCCCACAGCTCCTGCTGCTCTGAGGAGGCTGCCTGCTGAATCAGGAAGCCGCGACTAGCACTGCAGTCTGCAGAGCTGCGCAGGGAAAGCTGCCTCCAAGGAATCGAAGCACTGTTCCTGTAGCTGCTCACTGCATGGAACAGTGATCTTTCTGCAACAGTCCCACACCTGCAAAACTGGAAGTCTTGTGTCCCGCCTCTTGTTTGGCTTAACTCTGCTCTGAAATCAACCCTTCCAGGAGGGAATTTGCTTGGCAGATACTAATCACATCTGGAGCCTTGGGCCTGGGAAACATAGGGTTTAGCTCTCCAGGCTCTGGGTGAAGGAAAGGAGAGTGTTGGGATAGATAGTGAGGAATCAGCCCAGGGCGCCCACCATTGTCAGTGAGACAGTGGGGAAGAGTTAGCACCCGAAGCCCCCAAGCCCACTGTGGAAAGTGATTTCACCTGCGTGAGGATCACCAGAACAGAGTCTGAAACAGGGCTCCCCAGAGCATGTCGCATCTTCCTCCTCCTTCTTCATATCTTTCTTTTTTTAAACAAAATTTCCTGGGCTTGTGTGGTTCAGTGTTTGGGTTGACTTTTGTTTCAGCTGAACTAGTTGACTTATTCTGGCTTTGTGGCTGCGCCAGTGAAATATGTACATATTTTGCCTGTGTACGGCTATCTTTTCCTGTTTTCCTTCAGGGATTATACATCAGCACAGAGTCCATGGCACTGCTCCAGATAAAACAGCGCGGCAGAATCATCACCACTGGCAGAGCTCTCTGGTTGACTCATGAGGATTGGGAATAAATGACCAAATATAAACAGTGGAGTGGTGCCAACTGAGGCTCCCTTGTAGCAAACGGTCCCCTGTGGCATGTGAAAAAGAGGCCGGGAAAAGCCCAGCTGTGGGCACCATGCCACTGACTGCCGCTAATTTACTGCCATGACTACTCCAGGGCACCCTGATTTCTGCTTTTCAGAAACCTTTTGTGCATTGTTTTTTCCACTATCCCCATTTGGTTGACTAACCTGTAAGGCACTGGCTCCCTCAGCCAGTCAGGGCTTAGGCCTGTTTTGTCACACTGCAAATCCCTCACTGGCTGGTTGGTAGCCGTGAGAGAGGACGCATTGATATTCCTAACCAAGTCTTGCTGGCCTTTAGCTTCCACGTGCTTACCTGCAAAATCCTCAGCTTATCTGGTGTAATCAAGATAAAAAATAAATGATCGATCGACCGATCGATAGATAGATAGATACATACATACATACATATTTAAATGCATAGATGAGATTGGTAGATAGATGATAAATAGATGAAAGATAGAGATAGATATGATAGGATAGGTAGGTAGATAGACAGTCAATAGGTAGGTTGACAGACACACAGAGAGAGACATGTAGATGTCACAGCACCGGCCATTGAAGGAGCCTGAACAACCTCACACATGCACAGCACCAGGCCCCTCTCCTTCTTCTCTGGCTCCTTACAGGATCTTCTGTCCAGAAGCTGCTGGAGGCATCAGTGGTTGCCCTCCATGGTTAGCACCCTGCCGGGGGGTGGGGGACATCTCCTGAAACTGAAGAACCCCCATGGCACTGAATGACACAAACTTCCCTTCTAGTCTCCCAGCCCAGGGTGGCACTGTGTCCTGTGCAAAAGTGAGGAGGATGCCCCTTTTCCCAACTCTGTCACTCTTTCTCATCTGAGCCTTAAAGAGTCGTGGCATACTCTCAGAGTGTAACACAGACCTTCCTGAAAACAACCCACTTTACGCTACCTGTAGTCTCTTTCTCCAAGACACTGGCCACAATCCCAGGGCCACATGTAAGCTCTCAGCCCAGGGTACTGGCCCCCAAATCTTTCTCTATCAGCACTCCTCCCCATCAGCACTGGCCACTCAGCCTGTGGGTGTATATGCATGTGTGTGCTGGGTATTGAGTGTGTGTATGTGCTGTGTTGAGCGTGTGCATGCATGTACATGCAGGGAAGCACAGTGTAGGCTAAGCTGAGACCCCTCATTTACTTAGGTGGGAGGATACTAAGAGATCTAAATACACACATCAATAGCAGGGGCTCTGCAGACACTCAGCAAGCTGGGAGTGGCCACCTGGAGGCTGTGTGGAAGGGGCCCCGAGGAAGAGCTCACCTTAGAAGATAACGCTTAGTCTCTGGTCCCTGCCAAATGACACTGTTACACTCCTAAGTTCCCTGCTCTCCAGGACATATTCTGAATACCAAATAAGACCCATGAGGCATGGTAGCTCAAACCGCAGGTTCCAGCGTGTCAAGTGTGTTTCCAGGACCAGCTGACCCTGCTCCAGTGAGAGGTTACCAAAGGCCTCTCAATATACAGGACCACCCACATCACTGCAGACCCCGCCAATATGCCAGAGCACTGATCACTTGATCTGAACAGAAAAGAGTGGCAGCCTAGGAGGGGCTGACGCTGAGTCAAGCTCGCACCCATTGAGAACATTCTTCTTCCCAAGTATTCCCTGCAATGACAGTGTAAGAAAGCTGGGATGCAGATAGAAATACTTGGTCTAGCAGTTTGGGTTTTTGCATTTTTCTGTAAGATTGCATTAAAGTGTGACATGGGTCCATGGACCAAGGAAAAGTTTTGGATTCAGTGGACTAAGCCTCATAATGTTATTAGGGCTACTAATGGGTGACGTTACAGTCTCTTCCTGCCACCTGCAGAGGCCCCAGATGGACCCATCCCTTCTAATGCACAGCTCTCCACACCCAACCTGTGGGCCTAGTTACAGTTGTGTGGTGGGGCCGACCCTCCACCCACACCCTGGTGGCCGCAGCAGTGAAGAGGGCTACAGCTTCCATGGGTGGGTGGCAAGATCTCATACCAGTCCCATGAGAAAGCTAAGATGCTTTATAAATGCTGCAAACTGTCAGCCCGCAAGTGAGTGCTTAATGCCAGAAAGCATACAGAAAGTCAAAGCAAACGTCTCTCAACCCTGTTTTTCGGTTGGGTTTTATTGTTTGTTCTTTGTGGCTGGGTGGGAGACTGGGGTAGAAAAAAAAATCCATGATTCTTTTTGAACCTGCCTTGTGTCCTTTTAAGAAGTAGCTTCTACCAGCAGCTGGTTTTGGTTTTTTGGTTTTTTTCCAGAGAGAAATGTGAGGGAGGACTGTGTTAGGAGCAAAATGTTCGTATCCACTTGCAGCAGCCTCTTGGTGCATTTCGGGAAACGGTATGTGCTGCCTGGATGCCTGGGGTTCTTTAGAATGAGCACATATTTATGTTAAGGAGGAAAAAAAACACTTGTATTTTCAACCTCAAAGATGATTTTTTAAAAGTCAAAACAACTCACATCCTAGGCTGCCAGAATGCTTGCTTTCTGCGCTCACTTCTAGTCCCAAATACATTTGTGTAGCTCATTATATGCTGACTGGAACTGTAGTTTGTAGTGAGAGCCAAGCAGCACTCTCATTCCAGCTCGTTTCTCATCAGGAGAGTGGTCTTTTATCACTTCAGGAAGCTGGAAAAGGCTCTCTCCCATGGCCATGCTGTTAGATAATGATCTCACCAACCCTAAGTAAAAGCAGAGGGTTTTTCACCCCGTAAAAGCCCTAGGCCAAGGCAAATCCCCACCCCACGCCCAGACTCAGCCCCATCAGACACAGGAGAGCTGGCCAGAGGATGGCCCCCCAGAGGCCTCGGGTCTTTGTGTAAATGAGTCCGCCCCACCCACCTACGCTGCCCTGGAGTATTTTCGATGACACCGTGGAGCAATGACTGCATCTCTTTGAGATCACATGAAGAGTTGTACTTAACAACAGCTCGGGAGGTCGGGGAGAAGCCACATGATGCAGCTGCTTTGAAAGCAGAAAGAAGATGGGCTCACGGTCGGGCTGGTGGCCAGCGGTGCTGGATAATGACTCCTCTGCCTGTCCCTCTGGCTGAAGCTGAGGAGAGTGAGCCCGTGCACCTGAAGACCCTCAGTTCCTTGTTTTCTCTCTTCCATATTTTCCAAGTCTTGCACAAAAAGCACATTCTTTCCCTCTCACCCCTGAATCTGCCTGTGTTCTGGGTGATGGAGGATCCCAGACTGGTTCACCCTATGGGGACAGATGGACCACAAAATGACTTCCGAGCCCACTAAGTTGATGGGCTTGTGGGGGCTGTGCCTTCTCACCCTCATTTGTCGGGCTCCATCGGTGAACATCTGGAAGCTTCTTCTTGACCTCTGCAAGCCACTCGCACTCGCCCCCAAACTCCTGTCTCAGGGCCTTGGCACTTGCCCTTCCTCTCCTCCTCTGCCCAGCCAGCCTCTCCCAGAGATCTGTGAGGCCTGTGCCTGCTGATGCTGCCTGGTGGTGAGGCCGCCCGCCATCCTGCCCCTCCCTACCACTTACCACCGCCGAAAAGACTCCAAGGGTCATTCATCTTTGCGGCTGTTATCTGTTTTTGTGTTACGGAAACCCAGCCTCCCCACCCAGACAGCAGTCTCCACAAGGAAAGAGATTCGGGTCTGTTCTCTTCTTCTGCTGTATCCTCAGCCACCAGGAAGCATAGCAGACACTTGGTGAATACCCACTTTTGCAGAGTAGAAATAACAATTGTGTATTTTGCTTTTTCATGTCACCTTCTATTACGTTATTTCTTCTGTTATCACATAAGCATGGACTGCTTTACAAATCAGAAAACAAACAAGCAAACCCATAAACATGCATTTTAAAATCTCAGGAGGCAGGCCAGGGGCAGTGGCTTACACCTGTAATCTCAGCATTTTGGGAGGCTGAGGCAGTTGGATCGCAGAGCCCCCTCTCATGCTTTGCGGGAGCAGAGCCACGTGTAGGTCAAGAGCCCTTCGAGAATGTGATGAAGTATTATTACAGATATTCTTCCCAGAAAACGTGTGCTCATGCCCATACAGAGAACATTTTTACACAACTCGAAGGAAGTCCCAGGTTCCCTCATGCCCCACAAATTAAGAACCCTGGGTTGAGATGAGTGACCCCTCTCACCTCACCTCATCCTTCCTGCACAAAGCTACTTCAGGGTTGTCAGGGATTCCAGTAAAATAGTGCTTCTCTCCACGTGTTGGACCCGGCAACCACGGCTCATGCCACGGCCTCCGTTCCTCACTAAGGCAAACTTCGCACCTGCTTCTGCCAAATGGGGCGGCCAGGGTCAGCTGTGCAGGGCCCCAGCCATGGGAAGTGGAGATAAGGAGGTGGTTAAAGGCAGCACAGACAGCAGGGCCTGCAGGAGCAGCTCAAAGAACTGTCCAGGCCAGCCTGAGAGGCCTACCTGTTACCACAGCCCCAGTGTTTATAAAAGGCCCGGTTGTTCCTCTTTTCTGGGGCTCTTTGAGTCATATGTGTTCTTAAAATACCAGTCTCAACCCATGAGCTGAGGTGGCCTGAATGAGACTTGGTTCCTCTCAACAAAAAGAGTCCAGATGGCACAATGTTGGGAGTCCATCCCTGGGAGCCGAGGCTGCTGACCAGGAGGGTCACTCTGGAAAAGAGAGAGTCTGGTGGCAAAGCTGCGTCAGGCGCTGGCCCACCCTTCTCACTACTCGTTCCCCTCCCAGCTGAGCTGCTAGGCTGGCTGAGCTCTGAGCTCCTTGTGGCTTTCAAATGCCATGTTTGACGAGAAGTTCATTCCAGGTGAGTTCCTGAGATTCCCAGATGAAAGGAACAAAGCAAAAATAAATAAATAAAAATATAAAGCAAAATAAGTTATTTGTTTGCCTTTTTGCCATTCTCCAGCCTGATACCACTGAGAGTAGCTTCCCCATTTCCAAAGTCCTACAACCCAATGCTGTAATCTTGGCTGCACCCCTCATCTCAGGTATTCCTGCTTCCCCAGCCCTTCCCTTCGCCGTGTCTTTTGCCGGCCTGGTGGAGCCACATCTGGAGGGGCAACCCTGAGCCCTCTGACCCGGACTGCCCAGAACAGCCGGCGACACTGGTAGACGCGGATCTGGTTTTTCTTAATCACGGCCCTCAACAGAATCCACAGACTTTCCTGGAAGCCACAGGGCAGTCTTCAGCCCCAGCTCCCATCTCTTCCCTCCACATCTAGGTGTCTTCTGTTTACAGAGAAGGAGCCATGATGAAAGATGGCTTTGACCCATTTGAAGACTTTCAGCCAGAAAATGTGCTTTGTACTAGGAGCTGGAGGAACGGCATTGCCACCACACCATACCCCTTCTTGATGGAATAGCCACAGCCAGAAACCTCCCTCTGTCCCTTCCCACATGGTGAGTGGCTCTGGGAACTGGGCTGAAGAGAGGGTTGGGTGAGAGGTTACAGGGAAGGAATCCTGGCTCTTCCTCTTAGTGGCTCTGTGATCCGGGGAGGTGGCCTGACACCTGTGGTCCTCGGTTCCTGTCATCAGTAAAGTGAGGTTATGAATGCAGCCTGCCTCCAAGAGTGAGCTGTGAGACTCAGGTGCATTGGGGCATGGAACAGCACCTGTGAACAGGTGAGGCCAAGATGATGCTGTCTGCCCACAAACTGTTTCAGGCTCTTCATGGGCTTGCAAACCAAGGGATCCTTCCAGCTCCCCTCCTTCTAGGTGGGGCCGTAGGCCTGGTTTTGGATGGTGGCATGAGGGCCAAAACAACAGATGCCACTTCCAAGCCTGGCACGTCAACCAGCTTCCTCCCATTCTCTGTCTCACCTCCTTCTGCTACAGCCTTGAAGGCCGTGTGTTGGGACTGGTGGTTCCCCAAGATGGAAGGAGCCAGATCTTTGAACAACTGTGTATAGCAGAGCCTGCCCCAATCTCCAACCACATAAGTATGTGACATAAGTGAGCAATACACTTTTATTGTGATAAGCCACTGAGACTTCAGGATTTCTTTATATTTGCAGCCTAGCCTTGCCTACCCAGATAGAGGTGCCAGATGGATGACCTACAAGCCAGATGTGTTTGGCTTTAATGATTAAAAAATTGGAATGTAAGTGCTCTACAGAGCATGCTTGCTCCAGTTTGCCACAACCCTCACCACTCCTTATTGATTTTTACCCAGCCACTTCACACATTTACCTGCCTAAGTCCGTGAAACATTTGAGTTTGCAAGCCTGAAAAGCTCTGGATCAAAATCGCTTTTTGATTAATGCTTCGACTCTGTGTTGTCTCATCCTGTGACATGCTCAGGAAGATAGCAGAAACTCATGCAAGTAAATTGAGTAGCATTGTCTATTGAGGTTGGGTGCAGATAGCTTAGGTTTAAAACATGCATTGTGGGCTGGGCATGGTGGCTTACGCCTGTAATCCCAGCACTTTGGGAAGCCGAGGTGGACAGATCACCTGAGGTCAGGAGTTCAAGACCAGCCTGACTAACATGGTGAAACCCCGTCTTTACTAAAAATACAAAAATTTAGCCAGGTATAGTGGCAGGCACCTGTAATCCCAGCTACTCAGGAGGCTGAGGCAGGAGAATCTAAACCCGGGAGGTGGAGGTTGCAGTGAGCCAAGATTGCGCCATTGCACTCCAGCCTGGGCAACAGAGAGAGACTGTCTCAAAAAAAAACAAAAACAAAAACAAAAACAAAACATGCATTGTGGTGTGGTGAGGAATGGCCTGGCTTCTAAATCCGGTTCTGGTTTTGGCTTTGTCACTCAGAAGCAATGTTGACTTCCACCAAATCACATCTGAGGGCCTTAATTTCCTCGTTTTCAAAATAAGGGATTTTAAATAAACATTCTCCATATTAGCTTGGGCTATCATAAAGAAATACCACGGGCTAGGTGGCTTAAACCACAGACATTCATTTTCTTGAAGTTCTAAAGGCTGGAAGTCCAAGGTCAAGGTGCCTCCTGACCTCACTTAAACTTTTATCTCCTCCTCATAGGCCCCGCCTCCAAATAGAGTCACGTTGAGTGTGTGGGCTTCAGCATCAGCATTTTCGGGGAACACCTTTCAGCCCATAACAGATTCTATTATTTCCAGACTGTTCAAAGAAGGAAATAGATCACATTTATGTACTTTCCACAGCATGGGGCAGGCAGGGGGAGCGGTTGGGCTGACCCGCTGAGGGACCTCATTTTAATTAAAAGTGGCTGTTTTAAAATTTAATTTAATTTTATTTTGACAGGATAAAGTTGTTTATTTTTATTTTTTTAAAAGTTGTTATTATTTTTTAATTTTTTATTTCCATAGGCTTTTGGGGAACAGGTGGTATCTGGTTACATGAGTAAGTTCTTTAATGGTAATTTGTGAGATTTTGGTGCACCCATCACCTGAGCAGTATACACTGAACCCAATTTGTAGTCTTTGATCCCTCACCCCCTCCCGCCCTTTCCCCCAAGTCCCCAAAGTCCATTGTATCATTCTTATTCCTTTGCATCCTCATAGCTTAGTTCCCACTTATGAGTGAGAACATACGATGTTTGGTTTTCCATTCCTGAGTTACTTCACTTAGAATAATAGTCTCCAATTACATCCAGGTTGCTGCAAATGCCATTAATTCATTCCTATTTATGGCTGAGTGGTATTCCCTCATATATATATATATATATATACATACACCACAGTTTCTTTATCCACTCGTTGATTAAAGGACATTTGAGCTGGTTCCATATTTTTGCAATTGTGAATTGTGTTGCTATAAACATGGGTGTGCAAGTATCTTTTTTGTATAATGACTTCTTTTCTTCTAGATAGACACCCAGTAGTGAGACTGCTGGATCAAATGGTACTTCTAAAAAGTGGCTGTTTTTTAATATATGAGAATATAAAAATCATTTTTTCAGTCATGTGCGTTGTGAATATCTTCTTCTGGACTGTGGTTGGTTCTTTTTTATTTATTTTCTTCTGCTGAAGTTTTACATTTTAGTATTTATCAGTTTCAAGGTGATAATATTCTCCTATACTTTCCCCTAAAGTTAAGGTTTTCGTTTCAACATTTAGAAATTCAATCTCCTGTGAGATTTTTTTTTTGTATAGTATGAAGTCTGCAATATATAATACTATTTGAACTTATTAAGTTTTACATAAATAGGATCACACTGTAAAAACAAAAGTGGCTGTCCTCTTCCAGACAATTTTTTTGGCCAAAACATCATTCTGAGATGGGCCTTGAAAGAATTCCCGACATGGAGAAAAGCTGGCCCTGCTGTGTCAGTTGAATGGCCCAGGATCTGCAGCTGGAGCCCCACAACAAGCTGTACTCCTGGTTTTCTCTTCCGTCTGGAACAGACACTCCCCTGGTGTGAACTGTTGCTGTTCCCAGTGTGTGGGATGAGGGGCACCAATCTTCACCCACTAACAGAAAGCTATGGGAAATAATTAGCTGGTGCTGACTGAGAACTCTGAAATACACGAAGCGTGCAAGGAATGTTTCTGAAATACAGACGTATTCATTCTGCGACACTCGCGGACAGCCCTGGGGTGCTGCCCTGGTGTCATCTCTGCAAACTGAAACATCCAGTGGCACCAGAAGCAAGGTCAGAGTTCCCAGCCCTGTGGTGTCCTTGGACTTGAAAATCAACCATTTGAGCTCCTCAAATGTACAGAATCCTTCTACGTGCCTCATAAGTCTGTAGGGATTAATTTGGGTTATACTGGATACTTGGAGTACTGGGTGACGTACAAGAAACCTGTCTCCCTGCAAGTTACAGACCCTTTACAAGACCTTAAAATTCAGGGGGAAGCTGGAGGCCTTGATGCCAGTCCTTCATCCACCTTGGCTCAGCCATGTGACTTTGGATGCATCGTCTGACCTCTCTGGGCTTCTGTGGACACACGTGAAAACTGGGAACAGGCTGGGAGGGACATTTGACTCCACAAAAGTGAATGAGCTGTTAACAACTGCTTGCATTTTTCAGAGAAAAGTTTTTTTTGTTTGGTTTTTTTTTTTTGAAATGGAGTCTCGCTCTGTCGCCCAGGCTGGAGTGCAGTGGCGCCATCTCAGCTCGCTGCAAGCTCCACCTCCTGGGTTGACGCCATTCTCCTGCCTCAGCCTCCCAAGCAGCTGGGACCACAGGCACCTGCCACCACACCCGGCTAAATTTTTGTAATTTTAGTAGAGATGGGGTTTCACCGTGTTAGCCAGGATGGTCTCTATCTCCTGACCTTGTGATCCCCCCGCCTTGGCCTCCCAAAGTGCTGGTATTACAGGTGTGAGCCACCGTGCCCGGCCTGAGAAAAGTTTTTAAAAGCTGAACTAACCATTTCGTAGGTTGCCTGTTCACTCTGATGGTAGTTTCTTTTGCTGTGCAGAAACTCTTTAGTTTAATTAGATCCCATTTGTCAATTTTGGCTTTGGTTGCCATTGCTTTTGGTGTTTTAGACATGAAGTCCTTGCCCATGCCTATGTCCTGAATGGCAATGCCTAGGTTTTCTTCTAGGGTTTTTATGGTTTTAGGTCTAATGTTTAAGTCTTTAATCCATCTTGAATTGATTTTTGTATAAGGTGTAAGGAAGGGATCCAGTTTCAGCTTTTTACATATGGCTAGCCAGTTTTCCCAGCACCATTTATTAAATAGGGAATCCTTTCCCCGTTGCTTGTTTTTCTCAGGTTTGTCAAAAATCAGATAGTTGTAGATAAGCAGCGTTATTTCTGAGGGCTCTGTTCTGTTCCATCGATCTATATCTCTGTTTTGGTACCAGTACCATGCTGTTTTGGTTACTGTAGCCTTGTAGTACAGTTTGAAGTCAGGTAGTGTGATGCCTCCAGCTTTGTTCTTTTGGCTTAGGATTGACTTGGTGATGCAGGCTCTTTTTTGGTTCCATATGAACTTTAAAGTAGTTTTTTCCAATTCTGTGAAGAAAGTCATTGGTAGCTTGATGGGGATGGCATTGAATCTGTAAATTGCCTTGGGCAGTATGGCCATTTGGGAGAAAATTTTCGCAACATACTCATCTGACAAAGGGCTAATATCCAGAATCTACAATTAACTCAAACAAATTTACAAGAAAAAAACAAACAACCCCATCAAAAAGTGGGCGAAGGACATGAACAGACACTTCTCGAAAGAAGACATTTATGCAGCCAAAAGATACATGAAAAAATGCTCACCATCACTGGCCATCAGAGAAATGCAAATCAAAACCACAATGAGATACGATGGTATCTGTATCTCAGATACATTTGAGGTGGGGGGAGGGGGGAGGGATAGCATTGGGGGATATACCTAATGCTAGATGACGAGTTAGTGGGTGCAGCACACCAGCATGGCAAATGTATACATATGAAACTAACCTGCACATTGTGCACATGTACCCTAAAACTTAAAGTATAATAATAATAAAGAAAGAAAGAAAGAAAGAAAGAAAGAAAAAAAAATCTCACACCAGTTAGAATGGCAATCATTAAAAAGTCAGGAAACAACGGGTGCTGGAGAGGATGTGGAGAAATAAGAACACTTTTACACTGTTGGTGGGACTGTAAACTAGTTCAACCATTGTGGAAGTCAGTGTGGCGATTCCTCAGGGATCTAGAACTAGAAATGCCATTTGACCCAGCCATCCCATTACTGGGTATATACCCAAAGGACTATAAATCATGCTGCTATAAAGACACATGCACACATATGTTTATTGCGGCATTATTCACAATAGCAAAGACTTGGAACCAATCCAAATGTCCAACAATGATAGACTGGATTAAGAAAATGTGGCACATATACACCATGGAATACTATGCAGCCATAAAAAATGATGAGTTCATGTCCTTTGTAGCGACATGGATGAAACTGGAAATCATCATTCTCAGTAAACTATCGCAAGAACAAAAAACCAAACACCGCATATTCTCACTCATAGGTGGGAATTGAACAATGAGAATACATGGACACAGGAAGGGGAACATCACACTCTGGGGACTGTTGTGGGGTGGGGGGAGGGGGGAGAGATAGCATTGGGAGATATACCTAATGCTAGATGACGAGTTAGTGGGTGCAGCGCACCAGCATGGCAAATGTATACATATGTAACTAACCTGCACATTGTGCACATGTACCCTAAAACTTAAAGTATAATAATAAATAAATAAATAAATAAATAAATAAATAAACTGAACTAACACTGTCTCAGCAGGCCCAGGAAGGAAAGGCACTTTGCGTGGGGATCCGGAAGTCTCTGGGGTAAAAGAACCCCATGGGGGTGGAGTTCATTGCGTTGCGGCTCTTTACCCCTCTCATGGGGTAAAATCCATCACCTCAAGCCATGGAGCCAGTGTGTCGGGGACTCCCGTCTTAGCCAAAGCAGCAGGAGGGGCAGTGGGCAGCCAGGACACAGCAGCCCCCCTCGGGGACCAAAGGGTGGACCTGATGTGAAGCTGGTGGGCCACCGTTCTGCAGGAGCAGCGGAGCCTAATGGATCCCAGAGTCTGAGTGTTCTGTTCACGATTCCCCTTGCTCTGTGCTTCAACAGCCTACATCATACTTAGGTGCTGGCGATTCATGGACTGACCTGCATTATCCTCTGCAGCGTGGATGACAAGAGAGAGGCTGAGTCGAGTGAGTCCCTGACAGACTGGAGGCCGAGCCTATTGAAATCCCTTTTGGAACCAGGCAAGCAGTAAATAAATACAGACATGAATAGATGGAAATGGAATTTCTACGACCCAAACACCCACACCATCAGCAAGTTAGATTTATAGCAGAGCTTCAGGGAAGATGACTCCCTCTGCTAACAGCCACGTTTCAGTCTGCCCTAAACCAAGCACACCTACTCACCACCCTCCAGCTGCCCTGAGATCTCTCTTCTTCCTTTCACCTGCTCTTTCCCTGCCTCCACTTCCTCAACACCCACTCCTCATTAACCATTGCAGTCAAGGTCACACCCCCATTGTTTTACTGGCAGTCTTCTTTGGCGGTCACCAATGACCTTTTCATTGCCAGATGCAATTAAAAAATTTTTTTTCTACTAATACATAATATATATACGTGTTTTTGGGGTACATGTGATATTTTGGTACATGCGTAGAATGTGTAATAATTAAGTCAGAGTATTTAGGAAATCCATCGCCTCAAACATCTATCATTTCTTTGTGTTGGGAACATTTCACATCTTCTCTTCTAGCTATTTTGAAATAAATTCCCTGATTATATTCTGTTCTCTGCCTTCTTTGGTGGCGATTACTCATAATACACCAAAGTTCTTTACAAGATCCTGTCCTTAGCTCTCTTTTTCCTTTTCCTCTCTCACTCCTGTCTCCTTGCAAATTTCATCCACTACAACAGCTTCTCCTCCCACAGCTGTGGTTTCCACTCAAGTAGACCTCTTCTGGCCACCATATTCCCCTCAAGTCAGAGCTCTGCATCTTCAACTTTTTGAGTATTTCCTGTGTGTCCCCCAGCCACCGCCCAGCATTCTGTATCAGGCATCCAACTCAAATGCCTGGCACTCTCTTTGATATCTCTCTTCCTTTATGTATTCTCAAAGAACCAATTACCAAGTACTCCCTACTCAGCTGTTACTGTGATTCTACCTTCAAAATTCTTTGCCAAGCATCTCAATTCGGAAATCCATGTTGGAGTAAACAAATAGGAATCTGAGCAAAATATATGAAGCAACTATTTTCAGACATTGGACAGTAGGCAAAAGGACCATGGGTCCCTGAGAGAGGCAGGATCCAGAGTCTCCCCAGCCTGAGGGCACTTTCTACCCACAGCTTATGGGAGTGATCCAAGCAGAGATGACAGCTCTGCTGAATTAAGAGATCAGAATATGAAGACATTGGGCCGGTTCTTAGTTGAGGGGGCAGAGTAAGAAGATATGGGGAACTACGGCAGAAAGAGCCTGCCAATCTGCATATGGGTCTCCTTGAGCTTGTTAGTGAATACTCATCAGAGCAAGTATGAAAGAAATCCATGAGCAGGGCAGAGAACTCCAGGCACTCACACCAGGCTCCTACCAGAAAAGGAGGAGAGACTTGTTAGGCATTCAGAAGAAACTTCCAAAAGCTTGAGTCTTTTCAGATGCAGTTTCTGTATCTATTGAAGTGGTTTTTCATATAACGTGGTACGAATATGTTGGTAAGGATTTTTACCTTTCCTCGTGAGAGGAAATGGCTTATAGTATTCTATTCTTGTAATGTCCTTGTCAAGTTTTGATATCAAGATGATGCTGAGCTGGCAATGTTCTTTCCTTCTCTGTTTCTAGAAAAGAAATTTGTGTAGGCTTGGTATTCTTTCTTAAATGTTTGATAAAATTCAACACTAAACCATCTGGGTCTGGAGTTTTCCTTATGGGAATTTAATTCTCAATTAAATGTCTTTAATTTACATATGGTTGTTAAGAATCTCTATTTCTTCTTTTGTCAATTTGGGTAATATGTGTCTTTCAAGGAATTTATTTTACCTAAGTTTTTAAATTTATTGTCATGAAGTTGTACATAATATTCTTACTATCCTTTTAACATCTATCTGTTGGATCAGTTATGATGTTCCCTTTTTCATTCTTGATACTTTTAATGTCTTCTCTTTTTTCCCTTAATCAGTCTAACTAGAAGTTTATCAATTTTTTATTTTCACTTTTTGAGATAGGGCCTCATTCTGCACACAGGCTGAAGTGTGTGGTTATGAGCTCAGCTCACTACAGTCTTAACTTCCTGGTCTCAAGCAATCCTCCCACTTTAGTCTCCTGAATAGCTGGAACTATAGGTGTGTGCCACCATGCCCGGGTAATTTTGTTTTTTCGTTTTGTTTTGTTTTGTTTTTTGTAGAGATGGGGGTCTCACTGTGTTGCCCATCCTGGTCTTGAACTCTTGGGTCAAGTAATCTTCCTGCCTCAGTTTCCCAAAGAGCTGGGATTACAGATTTGACCCACCACATCTGGCCAAGTTTATCAATTTTAAATCATTTCCAATAACCAAGATTTGGTTTCATTGATTATTTTGTCTTTTTTCTATTTTATTGATTTCTTATTACTTTCTTCTACTTACTTTGGGTATGATTGGAGCCCCTTTCTTGCTTCTTAAACTTATTGATTTAGAACTCTTTGCTTTTTATTTTTTAATTTTAATTTTTATTATTGTTATTTTTTGTAGAGACAGGGTATCACTTTGCTGCCAGAAGTGATCTCAGACTCCCAAGCTTAAGTGATTTATCCTGGCCTCCCAAAATGCTGGGATTACAGGTACGAGCCACCACGCCCAGCTTAGAACTTCTTATTTTCAAATACAAGCATCTAAAGCAATAAGCTCTAACTGCGTCCCACAGATTTTGATATGTTGTATTTTAATTGTCATTCTGTTAAAAATAATTTCACAGTGGAGAAACTTAACAGAGATAATTAATCAAATGACCAACATAAATTTCATCAGTAATGAGACAAGTAGAAATCCTGTGCTACCTGATATGATACAACAAGAAGAACACAGCATTGCTTCTGTGATATTCTGCCAGAGTTGCACAATCTGAATCCAAACATGAGGAAATGCCAGACAAATCCATATTAAGGGCTACTGTATACATAAATAACCTATAATCTTAAAATATTATAATCAAAGCCTGAGGAACTCTTCCAGAATTAAGGAGACTATAGAGATGTGTTCAACGGAACACATAATTCTGAATTCGTATGATTTTGCTACTGAGACATCGCTGAAATTTAAATGGGGTCTCAAGATTATAGGGTTAATTGATTTTCATGGTTGTATTATAGGAAATGCACACTACAGTATTCAGTGTCGTTGGGCATTATGTTGACAAACTCATGTAAAATGGTTCAGAATTAAAATGTTTTTTGGATTATATTTGCAACCTTTCTGTAAGTTCTTTTTCTGAGGTTTTTTTTTTCCTGAAAAAATTATTCCCTGACCTCCAACAAAGAGAAAAATTTTGCTACGAGAAAAAAAGCTACACACACAAGAGTAGCTATGATATCATTCCATTTATATTAAATTCTGGAACATTCAAAACTAATCTACAGTGACAGAAAACAGATCAGTGGTTGCTTGAGGGTAAGGGTAGGGAGAAGATTAACTGTGAAGTGGCAGGAGGGATGTTTTAGGGGTGACAGAAATGTTCTGTGTCTTTATTTTGGTGGTGGTAAAATTTTTTTTTTTTAAATAGATGTATTTCATAGTATGAAAATTATATCATCATAAAGTGACTTGAAAAGAAAATGCCTCCCTTCTTCCCCAGAACATGGTCTTTAACATCATTTCCCCTGAAGGAATCAGCGGTCCTTAAAGAAATGGTTCATTTCTCTCTGACACAGGTCTAAAATGAGCATGAGATGCTTCATTGTATTAGAAAGCAAGGAAACTTTCAAATATGAATAGGGTCATGTGAAAAGAACCTAAGAGATAGCTTAGAAAAGGGCCCACTTTTCAAAGTCATGACAACATAAATATCAAAAGTATAATGATTATGATGGATTAAAACACATGGAATCAATGAAAATCTGTTAAATTCATAATGATATTTAGAAAAAATGGAAAGTCAGGGAACCCATTTATCACCATTTGAAGTAGCGATTAAAATAACTCTTTACTCTAATTAAGCATTTATCCTGTCTTCTGGTAGGAATTGTGTTTGAGGATATTTAAGTAGTCCCAGCTGATGCGATAAAATTTTACTTTACTTAAAAATGCCAACGAATAAATGTAGTATAAATGCCAGAATTGTTTTTAAAGATCATTTCATAAGCTCTAGATTTTATCAGTTGATATTAAAATCATCATGTGAGTAGTTGAACTGTACGTTCCAGGACTATCGCACAAAACATTGTAGTCACAAAGGGAAAATAGAACTAAAAAATAGATCAGGCTTTCTCATCAGTCTAATTCAGGCATGGGTCATACGGGTCTAATGTGTTTTATGACCAGATCCAATTTGTTCCAACTAGATACAAGTTTCAGGAAATACAAGAGAAAGTCACCAGAAATATCCAGAAAATGGGATATCCTGCAGGTAGCTGGCTTAGTCCCTTCAACAAAGCATTGTAATTTAAAAAGCGACTTTTCTAAAATAAAATAATCTTAAGGGACATAAAAACCTGTTGGCATCCATAGTCCTGGATTGAACTAGTTAGATATCACATACTAGTGAAATTTTTTGGTTAACTGAAAAAAATTGAATATGGTCTGGTTACTATATAAATTCAAAGTTTACTAAAATAGAGGAGTAGAGATCATTGGTGAAAAAAATTACCATCCAGTATGTACAATAATATCTCATCTTGGTAAAAAAAATACAGATAGGTAATGTGTATATGTACATATATACACACATATATAATGTATACAATATTATCTTATTTTGGTTAAATAAATAAGTGTATACATTATATGTGTGTGCACATACACACACAGAAAAAGAGCCAGGGTGATATGCACCTAATATATGAAAAGTGTGATATGTGGGTGGTGGGAATATATTATTTTTGTCATTTTTTTATATTGTAACTTAAAACTTTTAAAAAACATTTCTTTCTTTAAAGTTTTTTATTTTAGAGACTCAGTCTCACTGTGTTGTCCAGGCTGGTCTCAAACTCCTGGCCTCAAGTGATCCTCCTGCCCTAGCCTCTCAAAGTGCTGGGATTATAGGCACACACCACCGCACCAGACCAAAAACACTTCTTACAAGTCACACACATACACACACACACACACACATACACACACCCATACACACATATTACCCCTATAATAATAAAAAGTTATTTTTTCAAAAATGTGTTCTATTTTGACCATGCTTCTGCATCCTTTTAGTCCCTACTTCAGGCCCTCATGCCACCTTGCCTAAAATATTGCAGTAGATCTCATCCTTAACTGTGACCCACTCCAATCCACCCTACATACCACTATCAGATTAATCTTCCTAGAAGAGAGTTGCTGATTGATTGGATGACTTTTGATCAGCATGTTTCAGTGGTTCCTGCCTATACTGTAAAATAATAATTTCTCAGCCTATTCTCAGTCATCTAGGGACCCATTCCTGACCCACATCTCTGAGCTCGTCTCCCACTCCTCCCCACATCCTGCACTCCACTCAGCCTTTTCACCACCCAGACCGCAGCTTTCCCACCCTTGTGCCTTTGCTCACAGCCTTGCTGGGACACCAAGCTCTGTCTGCTGACACCTTACCTTTCCTCTTGTGCCCAGCTCCAAGGCACTTTTCCACAGAACTTGCACAGTATTTTATTTGTAATATTTTTTAAGACGGACTTTTGCTCTTATCACCCAGGCCGGAGTGCGATGACGTGGTATCGGCTCACTGCAACCTCCACCTCCTGGGTTCAAGCAATTCTCCTGCTTCAGGCTCCAGAGTAGCTGAGATTACCGGTGCCCACCACCATGCCCGGCTAATTTTTGTATTTTTAGTAGAGACGGGGTTTCACCATGTTGGCCAGGCTAGTCTCGAACTCCTGACCTCAGTTGATCCACCTGCCTCGGCCTCCCAAAGTGCTGGGATTACAGCTGTGAGACACTGCACCCAACCAGCATTTTATTTATAATTTCTAATGTTGACATTGATGCATGTGGTCTGTTTCCCCCAATCAAATTTAATGTTTTAAAGGGAGAAATTCCTACTCAGTTTTATATCATTCACAGAACTAGTTCTGTTTTCTGAATAAAGTAGTTGCATAATAATAAATAAATAAATGAACAAATGATGTTTTCTAATTAAGACAATTTCCCCATTCAAAGACTATGCTTGAGGCCAGGAGTTCGAGACCAGACTGGGCAATGTAGTGAGACACCATTTCTACAAAAACAAACAAGTGAGCAAACAAAGACTGTATCCAGGGTCTAAAAAATTTTCTTAAGAACGGCAAATTTTTTTTTTTTTTCAAAATGGGATAAAATGTACCCTCCATACTCACACATTCTTATGATACCACAATCAATTAAATGAGCATGGATGGCATTCTCTGATTCTTAGGGAAGAGTAGGTCAAATTGGGTTCAGAGTACTCATTTCCTTCTCCCTCTTTGAAACTGCACTTTTAATGCCTGACAGATGAGGTAGGCTTATTCTGTTTCGTGGTCACTTTGTTTATCCTTTGTAAATACAATACTGCACACTGCTTTTCTTCAACTTTGCCCTTCAGCTTTAGAGATAACAGTTTGTCAAAAAAGGGGGAAAGAGCCAGAACAATGATTTTTCCTGGGGCACAGATTGAGGCAGGTCCTGCGGGGATGCACTGGCAACAGGAAAGGGATCCAGTGGAGTTACAGCCCTTAACTCCAAGAAAGCAAATCTCTGGGAGTTTTCCTTAGAGCCCAGGAAAAAAGTAAATAGCCAGGACCTGCCTCTCATAGTTACTATGGCCCTGCAGATAACAATGTGAAGGGTCCCAGAGAACTCTGCAGAACATCCTGGCCATGGGGCTGGGGCTGTGTTGAGATGACTCTCCCCTCCCTTACCTCTTTCACCTGATGAGCACTCCAGGTCAGGACCAGGCATTGTGATAGAGAACATATTTTGGAAAGTAGGACAACCTCTTAAGGTAGGCACTATGTGACCTTCCAGATCACTCTGAGAGCCTGATCACCAGCAACAGCAAACATTTCCTGAGGGACAAAGTATTCCATGTCCTTCGCATGGTTGATGGTTTAATTGAAGGACAGAGAGAATACTCACATGAAGTATTGATGCAGGATTTTCTTCTCAGTCACTTTGCAAGCTGGGGACCTCCGGCCGGTGACTCTCTGCCAAGGCCTTGCTTGGCCACGCTACCTGCTGCAGGAGACAGCCCTCCCACTCAACCTGCCTGGGCCAAGTCTGGCTTGTGCACCAGTTCCTGAGTTGCCCCATGACTAAGAAGAATGAGGATATGCTGACACCCAAAAAGTGAACAAGGAAGGGAGTTTTATTGAGTGATGAAACGGCTTTCAGTGGAGAGGGGACATGGGGGTGGTCCCCCAACCTGAAGGTGGGAAAGTCCCCCCTAAAGTGACTGAGTATGGGGCTTTTATGGGCTTAGAATAGGGGAGAGGCAGGCCATAGGTAGTATTGGAAAAGGCAACATTTGAATGGTTAAAAGGTATTGTTCAGAAAGAATCTATCAGAAAAGGCTGGGGAAACAGGAACAGAAGTTCTCACTCTGGGTTACCGGTTTCATCTGGGACCAGCAGTCCAGTATTTCAGCCTTCAGGCTGTTTTTCTGGCTTGAAGGTGAAGTTTCACTGGGGACCTGCCCCTATCTGCCTAGGCATTTGGCTGCCTCCTGTAGCTATCAACTCCCCCCTCTGAAGAGGTACATCTAACTGCCATTAAAATGGAGATGAAGACCAATCTTAACTGCTTCCTGCTGACAGGGGGCACTGTTTTGGCAAAACAGCAGTCAGATGTCCCTCAGAGGCCTTTCTGAGGGTCCCAGGTAAAAGGGAGCCATCATGCAAGGCAGTGCTGGCCAAAGACCAGGGACGAGTAACAGGCTATACGAGCTGGAGAAGTTCTGAGGGGAGACAAGTTCAAGGACACAGGCAGGCAGGGCAGATTCAGGGAGAAGGTGACTTGGTCAGCCATCAGGGTTAGCACCATGGTGCTGGGAGCACTTCCTAACAGAGATAGAGGTCTCCTGCCTGGCCATCCCCATCACCTTGAGTCATCCATCACCTCTTAGTTTCAGTTTTTAACGGGACAACATTAAACCACATTCCTAAAAAGGCTTAAAATATGTAACATTCCTATTATTGGTTAGCATTTCGATATCATCTTTTCCTGTGATTTTGGCAAGTGCCATCGTGGGGCAGGATGGAGAAGAAACACCTTACAATGGAAGAAAACTGCAACTAGGGTGATGTGCAGTTCAGGACTCCTAGGCCTGGACATGGTGCCCAAATCAGAACCTGGTTTTCTGTGTCACCGGCCCTGGATCCTCCTTGGCAGCCCTGATGCAAGTGGTGGGTTCACCCGAATCCCTGAGAATGTGAATGGAGTAGAGATTTCTGTGCTGGCATCACCAATATCAGCTTTTCCTAGGTAGTCTTCCAAAGAGAACAAGCAGCCCTCCTTGAAGAACTCAAATCCTGTGTCCCTAATACCTACCCCACCAAGCTCCTCCCTCACTAAGAAGAAATGTTCCTCTGCAAACCCCTACAACCCTAGGGAGGAGGAGACAAGATGAGACAGCTCCATGGCCATCAATCCTCATTATCATTCTCACCATCATTATCATCATCTAGAGAGAAACAGGCTGTGTGTTTTGTGTCATCTGACTGACAGATCCATTTATACCACTGTCTAAACAAGACTAAAAGGAAAATGCTCATTTGCTTTTAACAGAACTAGAAAAAGCACAGACTTCTCAAGTTTTAAATAAGTTGAGCTGCTGATTTTAATATTAAAATTTGAGGTTAAGACTACAGAGAGCTGGTAGGGCTGGCATATGGTGTGTTACTGAGGGTCCCCAGTGGGACTGCTGTGGGGTTGTGGTGACGGAGAGTCTTTTTCTCCATTGTTTTCTAACTTTATTCTTGTAGACCCAGATGTCTTTGACACCTCCAGTCCATCATTTGCACTTGAATGGTGGGTCTGGGCAGCAGAGTGACCTAGGCCTCTAGAAAATTAGATACAGCCAGGCAGGCCAGCACAACAAAGGACAGGAATTCAAAGCAATTAGGAAGATTGCTTTGAGGGGAAGATTACAAGGAACATAAAGGTCTGAGCCCTGTTGTCTTCACTACTCAGCATTCAAAACTTTGAACTTTCTTAGCAACTTCCAGTCCAGAGCACTGGGTAGGACTCTTTAAAACTAGAGTAGGTCCCTCCTTGAGGGCAGTGAAGGGGAAAAATCAAGGCATGGAGAGAGCAGGAGCTGTGTTCAAAGTCATGATGAAAGAGGCATGTGGATGGGTCTCACACGGTTTGGAGTCTGCTTAATAATCCCAGTAGCCTGCTCATTGGATGGGTAGCAGGCTGGGTTCTTTGTCGCAGACAGCAGAACCCACTAGAGCTAATCAAGTTACAAGGACTTATCAAAGGTTAGTGGGTAACTCACAGAAGCTTCAGGAGGGCCAGAGAATTGTGCAGAAAAGAACAGAGCTCAGACCACAGAATTCCTCCATCGAAGTCCCTTCTGAACCTTTAAAGGAGATATTAGTAAGTTCAACCTTGGAGGTAGGCAATTCAGCCTTGCAAAGATTGCCAAAACAAATAGAACAAACTCTTCCAAGGAAATTACTCCAGGTAACCAATTCCTTACTCCAGTGCTCCTATCTGGACTGCTTATTGGACCCAGCTGTATACCCATGTCATAGCAGTTTGTGTGGACCCCCTATGACCCCTGCTGCCCTTCAGCCCTAATTTCCGTGACTGTTTGGCTGCTCACCTTGCCCCCAGCTTTTGACAAAGCCCAGGTGGGTCACCAGAGCTCTGCTTTTGGGACTGTAGGTTCTAACTGATATTTCTCTCAAATAACATTTCTCCAAACATAATTGAACAAAAAAATAAAAAAGCTTCTTGGCCTTTTGGAGCCCAATGAGTAGCTGTTAGGGCATAACTTACCATTAAGTTATTTTCATATCTTGGTTTTCTACAGCTCCAAATGCAGCCCAGAGTAGAGTTCTCTTTCCCCATCACCCACTCCCTCACCTGACTTAATTGAGACAGGAAAGTTGTTTCTGTCTCAGTGCTCTAGGAAGCCCCTGACAGTTCCAGAAGTAATTCTCTCAAACTGAGCCAGGGATGTGGAGATGAGAGACTGGTGCTTTCCATTTGGGAAAGTTGCTCAAGTTCTTGGGAGTTTAACTAAGCCTTCCTCTGAACTCAGAGCCGACTGATGGGCCAGCATGGAGAAGAGATCGATAAGACACTACAGTAGTTCTCAAGGCAGAGTGGACACAGGTTTCACACAGAGAACTTGCCAATATACCGATTTCCAGGACCCAGCATCTCCAGAGGTGCTGAGATGTCATGTCTATGGCAGGGGCCCAGGGATCTATGTGTTTAACAAGCTCATCAAATGAGCTTGATATAAATGCTCTGTAGGCCCCATTTTGAGAAACACTGACTTAGAATTATTCCATAATATTTATGTAGACTGCTAAGACCAGACACTAGAGATAAAAACATAAAATGTGTTTCCTAGTCACCAGCTGTATTACCCATGTCTTATTTTCTGTATTCTGATGCCGTGATACCTGGGGTCTTGCTGACCATGGCGGGACTGCCCCTGTCAGGTTACTCAATTTTTAGGGATAATAAACAACTTGTCTGTGAGCACACCTTTCATAACAAACCAACCAATCCAGAGCCCACACCCACACTGCCTTCTTTATTGGGGACACTGGATCATATCCACCTGTCTTAATCACCTTGGAGCCAGGTATCAGACAATTAGGGCCAGCCCCTATGCCCCAGAGTCCACGGAAATTATTCAAACTAGCCATTCTTAAGCCTAATTACACTGCATCACCCATTACTTACCATGGAAACCACACTAAAGATTCTTGCCCTTGTTTTTCCCTCGCTCCTTCTGCCTCCCGACCAATCCTCCTCGGTGCCCCCACCCCATTCATGGCATGATCCTTCCTCTTGGAACTGTGAGTAGTAAACTCTCCATCCAAAGGTGATCATCTCATAACCTATTGGACTTACTCTACCTCATATTCCCTACTAATACGATATGTTTTAAAATGCCTTGTGATATTGTGACTTATAATGAGAAATATATTTGGTCTTCATCCCAGTTCCTGGTGTAGAGCTTCTAAAACTTTTGGAATTTCCTACGAGATAAGAGCAATAAAGGTGAAAGGAACACCTTTTGTTATTCATAACAAGTCCCTTCCAATTACACTGTTTCTGTTCACGAGGTGATTTTTGAAAAGCCCAAAGGATGGGGGATCAGTTGCCAGAAGACCCAACCGTGTAGAGAGATGCAATTTCATCCCCACCCCTACCTTTTGGGGAGGGGAGAGGGGCTGGAGATTGAGCTAATCACCATGGCCAATGATGCAATCAATAAAATTTCCCTAAAGACCCAAAAGAATGAGGTTCACAGAGCTTCCAGGTGGTAAACACATCCACATACCGGGAGGGTAGCACACCCAGGAGAATGCATGAAAGCACCGCACCCCTCCCCAATACCTTGCCCTATGCAGCTCATCTATCTGGCTGTTCCTGAGTTGTAGTCTTATAATAAACTTGTGATTTAGTAAGTAAATTGTTTTCTATGAGCTGTGCTAGCAAATTATTGAACCTGGGAAGGAGGTGAGGGGGATCTTCCAAATTATAGCTGGTTCATCAGAAGCCCAGCTGTCAACTGGACTTGTGGCTGGTGTCTGAATTAATGGGGGTGGGCAGCCTTGCAGAACTGAGCCCATAACCTATAGGGTCTGCATTAATTCTACGTACAGACAGCGTCAGCATTGAATTGAATGGTAGGATACCCAGCTGGAGTCCACAGAGAATTGGAGACTTGCTTGGTGTGGGAAAAACCACACACATTTGGTGACCAGAAGCAAGTGCTGAATATTGTGGGTATTAAAGAGGTTTTATTAAAAACAATATTTAAACTTATATTTTAGGTTCATGAATACATGTGCAGGTTTGTTATAAAGGTCAACTCATGTCACAGAGGTTTTTTGTACAGATTATTTCATCACCCAGGCACTAAGACTAGTACCCAATAGTCTTTTTTTCCGATCCTCTCCCTCCTCCCACTCTCCATCCTCAGGTAGATTCCACTTATAAGGGAGAACATGAGGTCTTTGGTTTTCTGTTCCTGTATTGCTTTTCTAAGGATAATGGCCTCCAGCTCTATCCATGTTCCCACAAGAGACATGATCTCATTCTTTTTTATGGCTGCATAGTTTTCCATGTGTCTATGTACTACATTTTCTTTATCCAATCTGTCATTGATGGGCATTTAGGTTGATTCCATGTCTTTACTATTGTGAACAGTGCTGCAATGAACATTCACGTGCATGTGTCTTCATGGTAGAATGATTTCTATTCTTTTGAGTATATACCCAGGAATGGGATTGCTGGGTTAAATGGTAGTTCTGTTCTTAGCTCTTTGAGGAATTCCCATGCTGGTTTTCACCATGGTTGAACTAATTTACACTCCCACCAACAGTGTATAAGTGTTCCCTTTTCTCCGCAACCTTGCCAGCATCTTTTATTTTTTGACGTGTTAATAGTAGCCATTCTGACTGGTGTGAGATGGTATCTCATTGTGTTTTTGATTTGCATTTTTCTAGTGACAAGTGGTATTGAGTTTTTTCCATATGTATGTCTTCTTTTGAAAAGTTCTGTTCATGTCCTTTGCCTACTTTTTCATGAGGTTATTTGTCTTTTTTTTTTTTTTTGTAAATTTGTTTGAGTTCTTTATAGGTTCTAGAAATTAGGCCTTTGCCAGATGAATGGTTTGCAAATATTTTCTCTTATTCTGTAAGTTGTCTGTTTACTCTGTTGATAATTTCTTTTGCTATTTTTTTATTCCTCTCAGACCTGCAGCTTGAATCCTAGATGGAGAGATACTAGTCATGAGTATAAGAAAATGACTAAGAATAAAAGATAATGGACTTAGGATGCGAAAAAAACAGTGTGGAAAATCGGAGCTAAAGGGACTGGGTGGATGTGATGTCACCATGCCTGGGAATAAGGGTCAGCTTCAGGAAGCAGGCAAATTGAACAGGGCCTTGAGAGGAGCATAAGACTGACCAACCACAGCTTCCAGGCCTCCTAAGAGCCCGTATTATTTGGTAGGTCTTCAGTTTTCCTCCAGCGGCAAAGGGACTAGAGACTGTATCACCTCTCAGGTGTGGTGCTGTGTGATGGACGCTTGGACGAGAAAGGGAAGGCAGGAGGCTTCTGAGACAGAGTCGACCATTTTTGGTGATTGATGAGAACCCAGAGAAGTCAAAGAAGTAAGAGTCCCAGGCCAGATTCCTTCCTTTCCTAAGTGCTACATTCATAAGAAATAAGGCCGGGTATGGTGGCTCACACCTGTAATCCCAGCACATTGGAAGGCCAAGACAGGTGGATCACGGGAGTCAGGAGTTCAAGACCAACCTGACCAACATGGCGAAACCCCGTCTCTACTAACAACACAAAAATTAGGCAGATGCCTGTAATCCCAGCTACTCGGGAGACTGAGGCAGGAGAATTGCTTGAACTCAGAAGGTGGAGGTTGCAGTGAGCTGAGATCCTGTCACTGCACTCCAGCCTGGGCAACAGAGCAAGACTCTGTCTCACAAAATAAAAATAAAAATAAATTCATAAGAAATAGAATTTCTCTTTTCTTCCATTTTCCTCATCATTTAAGCTTAGTGATGGATTCATTTTAAGGTGAAGCACAATGCTAGGATATTGGTTTTAAGAAAGTCACATCCCTGCTATGTCGTGATTCTAAACTGAAGGCCTACCAAATGACACCGTTTTCCTCATTCTTAGACCTCTTATAACTAACACAAACTCATGAAGTCATCAGAATTTGTGCAGGAAATTTTTGGCATAGGTAGCTGTAGCTGCATTTATCTATGGTTTATATGTTAATATTTTGGAACTAAAAGTAAACTTAGAGGGAACAGCTAATTCAACAATTCTTCCAATCAAAGCCAAAACCAAGGAAAGATCTCATAACTTGTTTGATTAGCAAATAAAAAAGAAAGCAGACCCCCCAACTGCTTATCAAACATTTTAGCAATTTATGTCTTTTTAGCAGAAAAACAAGGATTAAGAGAAAGTATAAGAATCAAGAGACAGACATTTGGTTGGGATAAACAAAAAGTCACTATGAGGTGATTATGACAATGGTGATGGTGATCATTCATTTATTCCCTTAAAACTATTTATTTTTATTAGACACCTACAGAGTGCAGTCACTGTTGCAGGCACCAGGGTAACAGTAATGAGGAAAGCACTCAAAGACTTGGTCCTCATGAAGCTTACTTTCTAGTAAGGAGGACAGATTTCAGAGTCACATACACACCTATGTGGGCATACACAGGAAGCATAAGTGTCAAGTGGTAGGTGCTAAGAAGTGCAGAGATACCGTCAAGTGTAATGAAGTTGAAGATGATGGTTTTGTTGATAATGACGGCAGTAAGTTTAAAGAGTTGAGTAAACTCCTAAGGCAGTACCACTTAGATGGACTACTGGCTCATGTGCAAAGACTGGCTGTTCTGGCTCTCATGGCCCACGGGTTCTGGGGGACTACACTTCTAACAGCTCCTCCTCTGCATCTGAACCATTCTGAAAGACACAGAAAAGGTGGAGGCTGATCCCAGTAGTCCTGCCAGGGACCTAGCCAGGGGCTCAAGGGCTTAAAGGAAGGGCCTTTCTCATGTTCTTGTTATGCGCCTGATGCCTCCGGGTCCTCCTTGCTGTAGGATGGCTCTGTGATGATCACACGATCTCCCAGTCCAGGGCAGACCACAACTAACTTATGCTAGCGTGCTGCAGACAAGGTTCCTGCAAAGTGTGGAGGTTCATTGAAAATGGCCTCAATGACTTCTAAGAAGTAAATGCTGTGATTCTACAACTGAAAGATAAACCACTGTGACCACTATAAAACAAGGCCCGGTATCTCTTACAGCCCTTCCACTAAGAGTGGGGGGGTCTACGTGTGACCCTCCTGAGTCCTAGCTCTCTGAGGCTCCTTAGTCACTTGAGTACGGCAGAAGGGGATGCTTCCTGAAGAAGCTGGTGGCTGCTGTTTCCTGTCTCCTGGAATCCAGCCATCATGTTGTGAAGTAGCCCAGCAGCCACAGGGAGGGGCCCCTATAATGGTTCTAGTTGATGGCCCAAGTGGGATCCCCCAGCAACAACCCAGTCATGTTGAACGGGTGAGCCCAGAGATGACTGCAGCCCCAGGACTAGTCACCCCTCAGCCTCTATCCATGGAGCAGAGACAAAGAAGCTGTCCTCGCTGAACTCTGCCCAAATTGGAGATCTGCAAGCAAACTGAATGTTGTGTTCTTAAGCCACTAAGTTTTAGGTGGTTTGTTACTGAGCAATAAAGAATCAGAAGGCCCATCAGGCACCGTGGAGCCTCACCATTCCTAGGGTGGCCTCCACAGGGTCTGGTCTCCTGTTGAAAATACTAAACTCCTGCTTTCCCCTTCTCCAGTTCCAAAATGAGAAAGAATCCATTTATCCTTTCTTATTTGCAAATTAAGCAGCTGGGCAGCCCTTTTGCAAAACAGGCAACATTTGTTGTCATTTCTAGGAATAATAAGGAGGAGGAGGGAGGCTGAGAGAGGCAGCTGTTGAGAAATGTCTTTCTCCTGATCCGCCTACCAGCTCCAGTGCAGACCTGGCCCGAGACAGAGTCGGAGCAAGCTGAGTTGCTCACATGCACCCCCCAGTTAGTGGAAGCAAGTTCTCAGTTCAAGTACAGTTGTGTGACCTTGAGGGTCTCTGACAACCTGCTACAATGGCCTAGCTTGAATTAAAAGGACTTCCCAGCAATGTTGTTTTCATGTTGGACTATTTCATTCTTCCCTTCATTATATGAATTCCCAATCCTGGGGAGCTTTAGTAGACTAGCAACATAAACGATGGCTCTTTCCATTCCAGGCTCACCTGGGCCATTTGACCTTTGAGTGACATTCTTTTCTTTGGTGCTTGGAGTTCGTCTTTCTCTTTGAGCCACAATATACCAGATTATTGGGGATGATTATGTAGCTAATGATGGCTAATGATTTCTGTAACGTACTCCCCTACCCTCCACTCACAATACTCTCACTGATCATAATTATCAAACCACCAAGGAAACAGAAATAAATAGACCCAACTTTGCCCTAATATAAGAAGAAATAAATCTGCAAAGAACAGTGTTTCCATGTCTCTCATAGACACAGCAGCCAAAAATCAATTAGGAGAAAGTTTAGACTTCTCACTTTTCCTCTCCATTAAAATAGACTCAGCAGAGGTAAAATGCTTTGGGATTTTGGAGAGGGAGAGTTTAAAAACTAAAACCACAAATATGGTGGCTTTAGAGTTTTCTGACCACCCAGGTTTCCTTCAGTATTTTTCTCTCCAAATGAACCGTTATGCTCAGTTAATGCACTATGGCCATTAATGCTCAGTCCCTGAAATATTTTCTTCTCTCTTGGTCCAGATGCCTTGATCTAGAAAAAACTCATTATTGTCAGCAATCCAACTGCAGAAATGATGAGTGGACACATAGCCATCTCACACATGCGGGGAGGACACAGCCCGTGTCCCTGCAAGTGTCCCTGTCTGCCCCAGATAGCAGTGGAGGTTGTGGAGAGCTCATGTGTATTTAAAGAATTAGCCAAGATCCATGTTCAAATTCATAACTGTGGGCAACTGCTTTGACTCAATAATCAATATTAGAAGTGTGCATAAAGGTTCAGCTACAGAGACATTTAATTAAAATGTTGTTTTGAATAGCAAATAACCCAAATGTCTAGCAGTAAGATCAATTAAAACTAGGGTAGAAAAAGTGATATTGCTGTGAACAAACGATGTGGCAGGTAATGGAAAGATGACCAAGATACACTATTAAGTGAATAGGCACACAGTTTTGTCCATTTTATTTATGCACACATATGCATGCATAAGAAAAGTTCTGGAAGAAGATAACCAGAAGTGTAAAAATAATTATATCAGAGTGGTAGGATTATAGATATTTTGATGTCTTCCTTTTGCTATAATTTTTTTCTACACAAATTTTGTTTGTTTGTTTGTTTGTTTTTTGTTAGACAGAGTCTCACTCCATCACCCAGGCTGGAGTGCAATTATGCGATCTTGGCTCACTGCAACCTCCATGTCCTGGGTCCAAGCGATTCTCCTGCCTCAGCCTCCTGAGTAGCTGGGATTATGGGCATGCGCCACCAGGCCTGGTTAATTTTTGTATTTTTAGTGTGGCGGGGGGGGGTCTCGCCATGTTGGCCAGGCTAGTCTCGAACTCTTGACCTCAAGTGATCCACCCACCTTGGCTTCCCAAAGTGCTGGGATTACAGGCATGAGCCATCATGCCCAGCCTTCTACACAAATGTATTTCTTTTGTTAAAAAAAGTATAGCAATAAAAAAATATTTCAAGCAAATAAATTTTAATCAACCTTATTCTCCATGGGAGTCTCCTGGGACCAGCTTCAAGTGATTAGATTTTAGAGGCCAGCCTTGTGGCCCACCAGTTTGCCATGAGGGTCTAAGATTTAGGATATGGACAAGTCTGGCCAAGCCTGAATTAGGGAGCAGAAGACAGTCAGCAATGTGCACAGACAAAGGATGAAAGCTGAAAATGTCCAGACTGTGCCCCGTGGCTTCCTCTGACCCATCCCAGCCCTCCTTCAGTGACTAATTCATTAGCTACCTCAGGCCTCGGTTAAAATGACACAGCTTGCTCCTCGTTTATTTCCTTCATGACACTTACCACCATTTGCAATTATTTTATTCATTTGAATATTTCTTTTCTGTTGGTTTATTTGTCCTCACTAGATGGCACATTCCCTGGGGCTGGGAGCAGATCTAGGTCACCTCTGTGTCCCCAAGGCCAAACATAGCACCTCACCCATTGCAGGTGCTCTACAAATACCTATGGGTTAAAATAAGTGTGAAGAATTAGGAAAAAATGGCTATCTGGGGAGGTCAGAGGAAAGAGCAGGAGAGAAAGATGGAGGGGAATGGAGAATGAAAAGCAAATTAAAGATTCATTTGAGCCATAATGTCACTAGGAGCAGGAGGAGCGAAGGAACAGCCACCCTGCCTCGCTGGGATGCCACTGTCGGGCTAAGCTTGGTTAAATAGGAGGAACACAGCCAGGACACCCCGGCAGCTGGAGCTCTGCAAGGTGGGACATGAGCAGGCAGACTAAACTTGCTGTTTCTAAGAGTCCAGTCAGAGTCTGCATTGTTCTGCAGAGCAGACAGCCGAGCAAGACAAGAGGAGGTGTGAGCATAAACTCTTCCAACGACTGCTGCTCAGTTAGAGGAGGAATCGTACCCCGCTCCTTTCCCAAGGGTTACTTATATTGATACCATTTTAAAAATAATAGTGAGTTATATACAAAAAGAAAAAGAAATATTGTAGAAACAGGCCAGCTGTGGTAGTTCACACCTGTAATCCCAGAAATTTGGGAGGCCATGGTGGGTGGATCACTTGAGGTCAGTAGTTCGAAACCAACCTGGCCAACATGGTGAAACCCCGTCTCTATTAAAAATACAAAAAATTGGAGCTGAGTTTGATGGTGCCTGCCTATAATCCCAGCTACTCGGGAGACTGAGGCAGGAGAATTGCTTGAACCCTGGAGGCAGAGGCTTCAGTGAGCCTACATGCCACTGTACTCCAGCCTGGGCGACAGAGTGAGACTCCGCTTCAAAAAAAAAAAAAAAACAAGAAAAGAAAAATAGTAGAAACAGTTCATCAAGAAAGAAGCCGCTGCTGGGCGTGGTGGCTCATGTCTGTAATCCCAGCTACTCAGGTAGCTGAGGCCTGAGAATTGCTTGAACCTGGGAGGTGGAGTTTGCAGTGAGCTGAGATTGTGCCACTGCAATCCAGCCTGGGCAACAGAGTAAGACCCTGTTTCAAAAAAAAAACAAAAAAAGAAAGAAAGGGAGAGAAAGAAAGAAAGAAAAGAAGAAAAGAAAAGAAACGGGGAAAAAAAAGAAAGGAAAAAGAAGCTGCTAAATGGGAACATGAGACGCACCCCGGGTGTGATATTATGATTATGATTTTATATATATATATCTCTTATCAACAGTTCCTGGCCATAACCCCATAGCCTTTGTCACGGTCTTTCGTTACAGTGTTGGGGTGCTTTAGCCCTCAGGCGCAGGCCTCATGAAACAGAATCTCTCTCTCTGACCTCCTCCTGTCTTTCACCTGCCCAAGGCAAGACTCGAATCTGACGGTGGGTCAAAAACCCTTATTCCAGAGAGGGTCCTGCCCCATGCCCTAGAGGAAGGAAGGAATCCTGCACAGAGAGATAAGAAAAGTCTGAGCAGACAGGCTTTGCTGGATTTCGATCATGTGCTTTTGGTCCAGTCACATTTCTACATGGTTTAATCATGCCTGTGTAATGAAGCCTCCTTAAAAATCTAAGAGGACGGGGTTCAGAGAGCTTCCTGATAGCTGAACAAATGGAGGTTCCCAGAGAGGGCATGGAAGCTGTGTGTCCCTTCCCCCATATCTTAGCCTATGCATCTCTTCATCTGTGTCCTACGTAATATCCTTTATAATAAACCTGTCAGCGTTTTCCCTGAGTCCTGTGAGCTGCTCCAGCAAATTAATTGAACCGAAAGAGGCGGCTGTGGGAGCCCCAAGTTGAAGCTGCTCTGTCAGATGTTCCAGAGGCTCATGACTGGTGTCTGGCAGTGTCAGGGGCAGTCTTGGGGACTCAGCCCTCAACCTGGGGGACTTGATGCTATCTCCAGATAGTGTCAGAATTGAATTGGAGGACACCCAGCTGCTGTCCGTCCACTGCTTGTTGGTGGAAAACAAGCCCCCTGCATTTGGGCACAGAAGACTTCTGTGTTGATGGTTGTGGTGTGAGAGCAGAGGAAAAACAGTTTGAGAGTTTTTCCCTGAAACACTGGCACACAGAATCTTGCCTTGGAGGGAAAAGAGGCTAATTCCGGTCTAAAGGGGAAAGAGAGGTAATTTAAAACACACACTAGTGTTCCCAGGAAAACCAGCAGTGAAGTAAACAAAACATTAAGCAGAAAAGATCCACATGCACTGGCCAGGGGCTGCAGGCTCTGCTTCACTGAAAGGGAAAGAGAAAATGTTCAAATGTATCCCATGTGCGGTCAGCTCTGACAAAAGCCTCCCTCCTTTATCCCAGGACGCAAGAACTGTCAGAGTTTCTCCTGCAGTGTCTTCTCATGCAGCATTTTCCTCCAGTTGCTCCTAAAGCACCCAGGCTTCAAGACTCACCCATCTGCTCTTGTCTTATGGTTATTGTATGGTATATTTTATTAAGCGGAATTATCTTCAAAGTAGCCTTAATTGACCAATAAGGCTAATAATAAGGCTAATATTCTGGCTAATAGTGGCATTATTATTATTATTATTATTTTAGAGACAAAGTCTTGCTCTGTCACCCAGACTGGAATGCAGTGACAGGATCATAGCTCACTTGCAACCTCAAACTCCTGGGTTCAAGAAATCCTCCCACCTCAGCCTCCCATGTAGCTGGGACTACATGTGCATGCCACGATGACCAGCTAATCTTTTATTTTATTTTATTTTATTTTTGTAGAGATGGGGTTTCAGTTGCCCAGACTGGTTTCAAACTCCTGGGCTCAAGAAAACCTCTTTCCTAGGCCTCCCAAAGTGCTGGAATTACAGGCATGAACCACCACACCCAGCTTTGACATTATTATTTTTAATCAACTTATTTACTGGATTATTCTCATTAAAGACTCTTCACCTATTACCTTAAGGAAGATAATAAGCATTTTTAAATGTACCACTGTGCCTATACAATACACAACAAAGTGGTTGTGCCAATGGCCTGTGCCAGCTGTCTATTGCTGCGTAACAAACCATCCCAAAGCGTAGTGGTTTAAAACACCACTGTGTTCTTTCTGTTGATTCTGAGGCTCAGGAATTTGGGCAAAGCTCTGCAGAATGATCCATCTCTGCTCCACAGGGATCATTGGGTGACTGAGCTGGCCCTGAGCTGGCCACAGGCGGTCGTCTAGGCGTGATGCTGGCTCTCGCCCAGTGCCTTAAGCCTCCTGCACTCTGACCTTTGTCTGAGCGACCTCACCAACAAGCAGCTTGGTCTGAGCTTCTAAACAAGGCAGCTGGCTCCCAAGACAGAGAGAGAATAGAAGCTATAACTTAAGGGAGAATTTCTGCTGTAACTTATTGGCCAAAGCAAGTCACAGACCAACTGGCAAAGTGATGCCACCAAAAGGGCAGTTGGGATAGAGGGATCATTGTGACCTCCTTTGGCAACACAGACCCTTACGAATACTGAGGCTGTGAACAAGTGTTGACTTCTTGATGTTGATGGCTGCAGGCTAGTGACAGCAATTGTCCAGGACAGATCCATTGTCTTCCCACACAGTAGCTCCAGGACCACTATCCCTCACACACAACTTTTGCTCCCTGTCGACTTCTTTCTCTTCCATAAAATCTGCAGCTGATATTTACATAAAGTCTCAATATCAAGATAGTAAGATGGTCACTGCTTGCAGCTCCATTGCTTTGCTTACTCTTCGTCATTGACTTTCAAATTTTTCCACAGAAATGACCCTACAGGCTCAGAAGAGCGATAGTGTTACACCAAGGAGACTGGCCCCATTCAAAAGCACATTTCCTTCACGTCTAAATTCCTATCTTTAAAAAATCATGCAAATTGTACTTCTAATCTATAAAATGTCTATCTGCTTTGGCAGAAATTTTAAAAACATGCTTTTCTCCTCCAAATTCACCCACAGAGCTGATGTTGTAGAAAGTGTCTTCCTGGGCACAGAAACCTGGGACTGGCACTGGTGGCCTGCTCCAGACCCATGGGGTGAGGCTACACCCCACAGAGCAGCAACGCTTGTGATTCCCTCACTCAGGAACTGCTGCTGATGCTGACCGAGCCCTGCTCCCACTGGGAGAAATGGGGCCCAGAACTCAGCAAGGAGGCAGGCCCGGGGGGGCAGTCCTAGCTGAATGATCATGTGAATTTTATTGAATATAGACGGAGTTCTAAAACCCCAGAAAGAGACTTGTTTCCTAAATGGTGGAGCTCCGTGGACAAGAATGGAGACATCCTGGCCCCACAACAAGGGCAGCATCCATGCAGGACGGCAGCAGGGGTTCATGACTGAGGGGTCTGAGGCCTCTGAGGGTGTTAGGCAAGCCAGCGAGATGCTAACTATTCACTGAGCAGTCACTGTGTGCCTGGCACAGGTTAACAAGGGGAAGCTTAGGTCATAGTTCCTGGCTGGGCGAAGTGGCTCACACCTGTAGTCCCATTACTTCAGGAGGCCGAGGTAGGAGGATCACTTGAGCCCAGGAGTTCTAGACCAGCCTGAGCAACAAAGTGAGTCCTCCTCTCTAAAAAAAATTTAAAAATTAGCTGGGCATGGTGGTTTGCGCCTATAGTCCCAGCTACTTGAGAGGATGAGGTGGGGGGATGGCTTGAGCTCTGGAAGTTGAGGCTCCAGTGAGACGTAATTGTGCCACTGCATTCCAGTCTGGGAGACAGAGTGAGACCCTGCCTCAAAAACAAACACATAAACAAAAAGACGTAGCTCCTGTGGCTGGGCAACATGCACTTCTGAAAAGAGGCGTCTCCCCACCCCATGCACCTCGAGACATGAACAGCCAGAATGGGAATTCACCAGCAGGCTCAGGGGAGCTCACTCAGGTCCCAGGGGAATCAGAATGAGACCTCAGTGTCCCCTGCCCCAGCCAGTCTCCCAGCCTCAAGCAGTGGTCCCTAAAATGGATACCCACCACCAGCAGCAGCAGCAGCAGCAGCACCTGAACACTAGTTAGAAATGCAGATTCTCCGGCCCACTGCACCCTAGGGAGTAAGCAACTCAGTGGGAGCAGGCAACCTGCATTTCAGCCAGCCCTCCAGGGGATTCCAGTGCAGCTGAATTCTGAGATCTCTGGCCTCATGTGCCCACAGTACTCGGGAGACAGCCAGCAGAATGGGTAGGAACTCAGGCTTCAGAGGAAGCCGGTGGCTCGGAGGCTGGCTCTGACTTACCAGATCATGTAAGCTTGAACACATTTTCAGCCTGTCTGAGCTCTCTGTCCTCACCTGTGGAAGAGGGTGCTAAAAGGTTTGATGAAAGAAGGGGAGATGAAGTGATGTCAGCTTCCTGGCATTGAGCCCAGCCCATTGCACCTGCTCAGCACCAGCTGCTTTCTCCAGTCTCTCCGCTGACACTGTCCACCCAGCCCTCTGGCATGTTCTCCAACACCTGGTGGGCACAACTCCGGACAACGAGTCATCCAAGCAGTGCTTTCCCTGCAGAAATCACATCCTTGGGGGGACTCTGGCTATTGCAAATCCCTGGCCCCATCCCCCAAGGAAACTTGGCCTCAAGGTAGCCCCCATGGCTGCCACATAGCCTTGCCCATCAGCGCTGCAGCTCTCTTGAATATCCGACCCCACGCTCACCACTCTCCACACCACAGAAATCACAGCGAGCCTATCACATAAACACAGCATGGCCTCTGCATCCAGATTCCCAGTCAAGGCCCCTCACACCCACCCAGTCCCAGGGCTGGACTGGACCTGCGGATGTCAGCACTAGGGGCAGGAAAGAACTGACCAAAACTTGGTAATGAACCCGCCTAGCTCTGAATAACTGCATGACCTTTCCCTAGACACTTAACCTTCTCAGGCCTTTGTGAAGATCATATGATATGTTTTGAGAGTACTTTGTACCTTGTAAAACCACATACTAATCTCGATTGTTATTACAGATGATACAGTCTTTAATTCCCTTGCAGGCAACACTGTTTTCCCCAGATCATAAATTCCTAAAGAGGGCTGTGTGCTTTGTACAGTAACTAATTCAACTCCCTGTAAGTGCTTGATAGACATAATTTATAATGATGGCCACATATGTAAACCATAACATGGACCATATAATTGGTCGGCTTTTCTTTTGCAAGATGTGTATGGTACACGTATTCAAAATCACTTACATTTAATCATATAAGCATCTTTAGATATGCAAAGTATATATATTCATGCCATCTGTTAAATCCTGATTTGCTAAGCATGTGCATATAAAGACATCTGGGCTATACCAATTTCATAGATGTTTCCCCCAAATGCCCTGACAGTGGAAGCAATCCACTTCAACATTTTCAGATGCATTTTCCCCACTTAACTGGCGGCCTCCTCCCAGGGGGCAGTGAAGTCAACGCAGTGCTCACCACAGCAGGCCAGAGCTGCTCACATGGCTGTGCGCTGTGCAGCTGCCTGGGGCTGTGGCCTGCTCTTATCAGGAGCAACTGGTACCTCTCTCCCCACATAAACAATTAGGGAGAGGGAAGGAGAAAAGCCTTAAATATTTGCTTTCCTTTACAAGACCACCTACAAAATGTTGTTAAGACCCTGCAGGCAAAATAATCTGTCATGAGTCCAGCACTGGGCAAATATAAACACCTCGAGGACTCTACTGAGCAGTAGCCTGGGGTCCCACATGTTTTCACAAGTTTCCTTCTGTGGAGGAGGAAGAGTCCTGCTCTCCTCTACTCTTCATCCTCTCCTGTTCTACCCCCTCCCCCACCAACTAAAAACACACATCTTGGTGAAGTACTTCATCAAAAATAGTTTGGGTTAGAGAGGGTGCACATGAATAAGAGAGTAAGTGGTTTTTACTACAAAGTTGGAGTCCCATCTCCTTTTCATTCACTTTAGCATTCACCAGTGCTAAAGTGGTGGCCGGCATGGGCTGCAGGGAGCCGTTGGAAGTGAAGAGTCACAGAGCCTGGGCATCTCAAACTCTGAACCCAGGGCGGGTGATAAGCAGAGGCAGGAAGCAGGGTCAGAAGGGTAAGGGAGCGCGCGTCAGTCTGTGCTTAGGGTGCATTCACACCAGAGATCCCAGGACAGCTCGCTGGAAAACATTTTGAAACAGGAGTGCGTTTTACTTGCATACAGTGCTTCCCTCTGGCTCCTGGCACAGCCTGGTGCAGCGGCTGGGTGGGATCCGTGCAGCCACTGCTTGTCCCGCCCCTTCCCCATAAAATCACAGGGAGCTTTTACCAAGGAAATGCTGGAAAATTAGCACTCTTGCAATCTTGGTGCTTTTTCTAATTGCCTATTGGAATTTGCAAGTGATTATCAGGATAGAATGAAAAGAGGTTGCCTCTAGCTGACCCTTTCTAGGCCTGCCCTGCAAACTCCCCTACAGCAGAGGTGAGCATTGTGGCTTTAGTCTGTGTCTCGAGAGGATGCATATAGAAAAGAGAAGGCTCCAGCAGGCCATCTCTGAAAATAAATGCATCTGGCAGAGAAGCTGAACAAAACCCTTTGTGGCCTTCTGCCAGCAACTCCACTCTGTGCCCTGCTTCCTTAGCCCCCAGTCATTTTTTCCTCCAGCAGCCTCCCTAGCACCTGCCCTAAAAGTGGCCTTTAATGGGGGTGCTGGCACATCAGCCTGCTCCACTCAGGGATGTCACCCCTACAGGCCACCTCAGGGGCCACCACCCCCTGCCCCCCACCATCCCTGCAATACTTGACCTGTCCCTGCATCTGCAGCACCGACACAGAGCCTGCCTGGATTTGCTCAGGATACGTGGCTGTTATCCCATCTCTAGGAAATATTTGAGGAGGCCCAGGCACTGTTTCCTACTATCGTCACCTCCCCCTACACCCCAGTAAAGCAGGCAAGAAATAAGTATCATTACTCTCTTAGCTCAGTCTCTCAATCTGATAAAAACCTAAACCCAGGCTGGAGTGCAGTGGTGCAATCACGGCTTACTTCAACCTCGACTTCCCAAGCTCAAGCAATCCTCTCTCCTCAGCCTCCCAAGTAGCTATGACTACAGGCATGTGCCACCACACCTGGCTAATTTTAAAAATTTTTTTTAGTAATGGGGTCTCGCTATGTAGCCCAGGCTAGTCTTGAACTCCTGGGCTCAAGCGATCCTCCCACCTCAGCCTCCCAAAATGAGGTCACATTCTTAACACAGTGCCTGGCATATACTAAGTACTCAGTTAAGTTTTATCAAGAAAAAACATTCAATCAGACACATAAACCAAAAAGCAATTGTAGGTTTCAAAACTATCCTCTTACCACTTTACCACCTCTATGGAACATTTAGGAGTTTGGTTTGGTTTTATCCCAAAATCTAAACCCCTGTTTTTTTTTTGTTTTGTTTTGTTTGTTTTTGAGACATTGTCGCACTCTATCGCCCAGGTTGGAGTGCAGTGGCGCTATCTCGGCTCACTGCAAGCTCCGCCTCCCGGGTTCACGCCATTCTCCTACCTCAGCCTCCCAAGTAGCTGGGACTACAGGCGCCCGCCACCGCGCCTGGCTAATTTTTTGTATTTTTAGTAGAGACGAGGTTTCACCGTGTTAGCCAGGATGGTCTCGATCTCCTGACCTCGTGATCTGCCTGCCTCGGCCTCCCAAAGTGCTGGGATTACAGGCGTGAGCCACCGCGCCCGGCCCACCCCTGGTTTGTTTTTAAGTTGTCAATAAGGATTTAAACATCTGGACTGTGCTTAGAATATAGTCAGCTGCGGTTTTATCTCCCCTCCCTTCCATCTTCTCCCACAGAAGGTGAGTCCTCTGCAGTTCAGCTCCCCCACCCCACCCCCTTGCAATGCCCCAGCTGTGTTACTAAGGGGAAATGTGAAGCCTCAGCAGTCCACATGGAAGGCCAAGACAGCTGTGGGGCATTGCCGACCAGCCATCTGCACCCAGCAGGGTTGGAATCCAGTCTGGCCTGACTCTTTTCTAAATGTTGCTTCCTATGGGACAGCCTCACCCTGTTAGGCTGACTTGAGTTTGCATTCCTGAGCTCAGCCTAGGGAGTGTGTATGTGATCTCCTGTGGCAAGGAGAACTCCCCCTACTAGAAATGCAGCCATTGCTCGGGCCCACCCAGTGGATCAGCCACAGCAGGTTGCAGCAAGCTGCCTATGGGAGGACGGGGCTGGAGCAGGAAATGAGAGTTAAAAGAGTCTTTTCAGGAGTGTGATCGGGCCAAAAACAGGAAGATCAGCAACTCAGTCTTAGGCCTCTGGGGTTAAAAGCAAAACCAGAGAGAGAGAGGCAGAGAAAGTTTACTAAACAAATAAATGTCCCATAGAAAGGTTATATTGAGCCTAAGCCAACACAGCAAGGCCCTATCTTTACAAAACAATTTAAAAATTAGCTGGGTGTTGTGGCCCATGCCTGAATCTCACTATTCAAGCACAGCCTGGCTGACACAGTCCTAGCTACTTAGGAGGCTGGAAGTAGCAGGAATGCTTGAGCCCAGGGGTTTGAGGCTGCAGTGAGCTACGATGGTACCACTGTGTTCCAGCCTGGGTGACAGAGAGATCCTCTCTCGGAAAAAAAAAAAAGGTCCTACTGAATGATACTGCAGCACATGGTGCTCTCAAAGATGAGCTACTTTCTCCAGGTGTTTGTGCCCCCTCGCAATGACCTTGAGTGTCTCCTGCGCCATCATCCTTGCTGCTGGTGATACAACAGCTGCAGTGTAAGAATCCCAGCATCACCTTAGACACACCCCACCCCCAACACACACACACCGGATACAGTCAGTCGCTCAGCGCAGGGAGCAGGCTCCTGGAGAACGCTCTGTCCATGCCTCCTCAAATCCCCGCACAGCCCCTCTCACCTGGGTTCCTGCCACAATTTCCTGCCTGTCTCTCTCAGCCAGACCCTCCCCTGCCTTACAGGGCTGCCTTCCACATGGAAGAATCAGAATGATCTGATTGAGTTACTCTCATGCTTTCCACCTCTCAGTGTCTCCCAAATCAAATTAAAATCCTCAGCAAAGCACACCAGGCCTATCACAATTACACCTTCCCATCCCTCCAAGCCCAACCCTCTACCTCGGCATCCACCCAAACTCCGTTCCTGAAGGTTGTGTTCCTTGCCTTAGGTGTGCAGTCCCCTCTTCATACTCCAAGATTCAGCTCCAGCTGCCCCCACACTGCCTTTCTCAGAAGCTTTCCTTGCACCCTCCCCAGGCAGAGTCGACCCCCTTCGAGCCTCCATTGTGTCTCCTGCACACCTGAACTTCCCAAACTGGGTTGGATGCTCTCCTCGAGTTTCCTGTAGCTCCTATGCTCACAAGGATCGTGGCACTGTGGGGTAATTGCTCCAGTGCTGCCTGCTTCCTTCTTAGATTCAAACTCCTTAAAGGAAAAAGCAGGTCTTACTGAAAATTAAAGTCCCAGCTCTTGCATAATGCTGGGCACACAGCTGGAGTCCTGAAGAATTTGCTGGATAGAGGAATGAATAAACGTAGCCCTTAAGCAGTGAGTTCCTGTCTCTCTCCTTCCTTAGTAAATCAGGTCATTGGGAGCATTTATCTTTGTGTCTCTGGTGCCCGTGCAGAAGCTGGCCCTTCACAGGCAGGCAAAGGTGTGTTTCACTCACTTGTTCTGACTATTCCTGAATTTGGATAACTCGTAGTCCCATGTCTCTCTGAGATTCTAACAGGACCCAGGGACAACCTATGGGAAGACAGGGGTAGTGTGGGAGTGGGGTTTCTTGGAAGCCCACCTTGCTGGGATGAGTGACTCAGGTTCTCCCAACTTTGAAGTTCAGGGCCCAGCTGCAGGCGGCCCCCATCCCGCCCTGCGCTAGAGGGCGTGTGTTGGGTGGAGGGGGCACACATGCCAAGGAGGGGCGGTGAACATTGGGTGCTTGGGAGATGGAAGGGTCAGCACAGTGCAGACATAAAAAACCAAATGGCAGAGCCCAGGAGAGAGCATTTGGTGGCAGGTGACACTCACGAGGATCAGAGTCTCAGCCCACTTGGCTCAGGTGCTCCGACCAGCCCCTCTGCTGACCCTGGCTCCGAGCCCTGTGACCTGGCAGTGACTTTCCTCTTCTTAGAAAAAGGAGGAGGGTGGCTAATTGAAAACAAACCAACTGCTTCTCCTCTTTCCTCAGCCCTCAGGAAAAGCATGTAATCATCTCCAGGATTTAGAGATCTTTTTCTTCTAAAGTCAAGGGAAACTTGTTGTTCACTCCAGCCATCTTATTGCTCCTGAATTGTGTGGTCTGAATCCTTGTCTGCTGGAAGCTTTGGACAACACACTGATCAGAGCACTAAGTTTGGAGTCCAAGCCGTGGTTCCCTGTGCCTCAGTTCTCCCACCCAGAAAGCAGTTGATCCCTTGGTCCAAGTGGCAATGATGCCCAACAGAACTTTCTGTGGTGCTATCCAGTATGAAAACACTCGCCACATGTGACTTTGCAGGATGGCTAGTGCAACAGAGGACCTAATCTTTAATTAAATTGACTCATTAATATTTGACTAACTGGACTGCACAGCTGTAAGGTTGAACCTGCTCTGACGTTACATCCCATTCCCACAAGCACACCCTTTGTCTCTCTAATTCTCATAGCCACTTTCTCCACAGAGGGATAACTTGGATTATATAGTCTATGTGAAGCCTTTAAATATGGGACATGGGTCAGAAAGGGCAGAATGCAGTGTCAGAAAGACAGCTTTCTTTGAAAGTAAAAGACAAAACTGAAAATGATGCACTGGGGAGGAGAGCCTTCCGCCCACCCCCTCTTCCCTTTCGTAATCCTGCAGAGACCACACGGTGTTGCAAATCAAAGTCTGCTCTCTGGCCAGATGCAGATAGGAGCAAAACTTTCATCTCTTTTCTTGCTTCTACATAGTGCTCCTTTTTGAACCTAACACCCTCCCAGCCTGCCCCTTGGATCTGTTCTAATAGCAGTGATTGGAGCTGTTGTGCTAGGACAGGTGGCTCCATGAGACAGGAGCTACCACGGTGCAGTGAGGACACCTGGGAGCGCCCAGAGCTCCGGGACACATAGGCTGAGAGCTGTGCTCTGGTGCCCATCATCCCTGCAGGCACTGCCGGCTCGGTCCCACCCAGCCCACCCCAGGGCTGCACAGGGTCCCTGTCCTGGGACACTGGTTTTCTACCCTCAGGCATGTTTGCTGATTCTCCCAGACCCTGGCCAGTATTTTTCTCCCAAAAGCCTTCCTGGCATACCCAGCTGGCACTGCCCTCTCCTTTCTTGGACCCTGCTGTGCAGCAACGTTTCAGAGTCATTCTGCACCTTCAGTTCTGCACTAGAGTCATTCTCCAAATATTTCTGTGCTATCTCAGCTAGATCAGAGCCTCCCTATAAGCAGAGGTTGAGTCATCTATTTCTTTTTTATCCACTTGTGGCACCAAGCTCAGACTTTGCTCTGCACTACTTACTCACCCAGTGCTTACTGACTGATTTATTGACCCAGAACCATGGCGAGAATGCAGTCAAGCTATTACCGTGAACTTCACAATGCAGGCACGTGAGCTAAGGTGACAGGGGTTGAACCCAGATTGCTCGCTGGGGCTTTTGTTCTTGCTCTGACTCTACTACCAGCTCAGGTATCAGAACACGCTACCCTATTCCCAGGGGCCCCTGTTTGGTTCAGACCGCACAGTCCCTGCTTTGCAGGGCTTCAGGGACCACACCAAGGAAGGCCACTGTGAACATCATAAATGGCACGCTGAATGGCACTCATTGTTAGTATAAAGTGCAGGTACGTTCTGTACAGTGAGATTAGACGGGTTACTCAGAGCCAGCAGCCGGGACACACCTGTTCTTTTTCTCTGCATCAAAAATCCCTCTTTTCTCTGCACACATTTCTTCTCTCCCAATTTCCACGAGGTGGCTAAGGGCCTTCCTGGACATTTCTTAGACTTCTTAGAAACTCATCTAGAAACTCCCTGATGGGTTTCTAAAATTATAAATTCACTGGCACTCAGCAAATCTACATTTTACATAAGAGAAAGTCAGCCTAGAATAAAAACTTGCCTTTTAAAAGCCAGCTTTTCTGCCACCACTTCCATCCCTCTAGACTGCTGTCTCTTGCCATAGATTCTCCCTCTGGACCCTTCTGGATGTCTGCCTCACCATGGAGCAGCCCTTGGACCCTCAGGCTGACTGAATGACTCATACCTGGGTCAGCCCTCTTAGAGGGACTGCTCCATGCCACTGCATAAACAGAAGAAAAGGTCGGGCGTGGTGGCTCACACCTGTAATCCCAGCACTTTGGGAGGCTGAGGTGGGTGGATCACGAGGTCAGGAGTTCAAGACCAGATTGGCCAACATGGTGAAACCTCATCTCTACTAAAAATACAAAAATCAGCCAGGTGTAGTGGCATGTGCCTATAATCTCAGCTACTCAGGAGGCTGAGGCAGGAGAATCGCTTGAACCTGGGAGGCAGAGGTTGCAGTGAGCTGACATCGTACCATTGCACTCTAGCCCAGGGGACATAATGAGACTCTGTCCCACACCCCACCCCACCCCCCAAAAAAACCCAAAAAGCAAAAAACAAACAAACAAACAAACAAAAAACAGAAGAAAACACCACAGTGGAAAGGCCTGTGAAAGGAAAATAAAATCTCGGGACTCCAAACTCACTATGCCAAAGGGAAAAGTTAAGCTTGGAAACTGAGTCATGCAAAAACTCCCTTCCTTTTGTTCCAAGACAGCTGTAATTTCGCAGGCTGACTTTCTCTTATGTAAAATGTAGATTTGCTGAGTGCCAGACTAATGCTTAATTGACTCCTCCGCTTTCTTTTCAGGTGTAAAATGTAGATTCACAGAGCCTCACAAGAATTGTAACCACTTGTCTCATTGCCTACCCTCCCTCCTTTTATTTTTCCTTTTTCTTCCCCTCCTGATTGCTCTTTCCCCTTTAAACACTGAGGTTCCCAAAACTCTATCTGGAAAAAGCATAGGATACAGATTCTACTGTGATTTATGTTTCTTTTTCTCTGGTGCCTCCTCAACCTTGGCAAAATAAGCCTCGAAATCAATTGAGATCTGTCTCAGTCACTGTGGTTTACAGACCCAACTCCTGCACTTAGGTAGTCAGGAGAGCCGACAGCACAGATTAGGGGCCTCCTTAGCTGATTTCGGTGACCACACCCATACCAATTCTCTGACTCCAACACAGCCTGGTTCGCAAGACTTCATTATCCTGTTGCAGACTTCTCAGCCACAATTGACACAGGCCAATGGGGCCTAAAGTTCTCCTTAGTTTTTCTGAAAGTATTAAGAAAGTTTGTGTAGAAAGGTAATGCACACAATTTCTGCATTTCTGCCCTGCAGTAAGGCTCAGAGCTTATGATGTTTAATTGTATGTGTCAACTTGACTGGGATAAGGGATGTCCAAAGAGCTGGTGAAACATTATTTCTAGGTGTGTCTGTAAAGGGTTTCCAGAAGAGACAGCATTTGAATCAGCCAGAGCAAAGAAGATCTCTCTCTCTCCATGTGGGAAGGCATCATCCAATCCAATGAGGGTCCATATGGAACAAGAAGGTGGAGGAAGGGTGAATTCTTTCTCTTCTGAAGCTGGGATGTCCATCTTCTATGGTATTCAGACATTGGAGCCCCTGGTTGTCCCTCAAACTCCCCTCAGGCCTTCAGCCTCCAGTTAGAGCTACACCATCAGCTCCCCTCGTTCTTAGGCATTTGAACTTGGACTGAATTACACTACTGGCTTTCCTGGTTCTCCAGCTTGCATACCGTGGGACTTCTCAGGCTCTATAACTGTGTGAGCCAATTTCCATAGTAAATCTGTTCTTTCATATATATACATATCTCCTACTGGGTCTGTTTCTCTGGAGAAGCCTGACAAATACAGACGTATCTGTTCAGAACCACTTTTAATATCCCTTTATAAAAATCCTTCAGTTGCTACTTTGAATAATTAGCTGCTTTTGATGGGGATCATGATAATTCTCTTAAGTCATTTTTTTCTTTACTTTTTCTGATTAACTCCAAGTGCTGTACTACTACATGCTTTTCAAACTGGAGTACCCACAGCCCCATTTCTGGGCAGGAAGGATGCAAAACAGCAGAATAATGGTGTGTCTTCCTGGAGCATCAATTTCATTACAAGATTTGGAAGAAATGAAGTCAAGTAATTTATGAAAACCATCTCTGTTCCCCCACAAACACAGAAGAAAAAAGAGAGAAGAACATGAGTTGGAGAGGTGCCTCGAGAAATAGTCCAGTCTCAAGCTCCCCAGGTCGGGGCAGAGGGCCAGCCTGCAGCTAGGACCAGGTGGACTTCCTTTCCTGTCTCCCAGGTGGCCTCTGGTGTCCTTTAGAATTTAAGCTCAGCATTTACTTTGGACACATGATTTTTGAAGGACATGGAGGTGCCAGATACCCTCATAAATTGGACCCCATGAAGACAACTCTGCCACAACAATTTGCACACCTGTATTCCTTCTCTACAAAATCCCTCTCAGCAGGGCATGCCCTGTACACACAGCAAATTGTGCTGGTTGCGTCGCTCCCATGTGCAGCTGCTTGAGTCACCTGGCTCATCTCCTGCACCATCTCATAGGGCTCTACGGAGCTCAGGATCTTCATACTGTATGTAAAGTGAAGGGAGAGAGGATCCTGCGGCTCCTCAAAGTCCTCTCCCACAAAAGGCAGGGACCAGTGGTCATCAGGTAGAGAATGACTCTCAGGCTCCACACACCCATGGAAAGGCCATCATATGAGAAAAAGGAAGAAAGAACAAAGAAAAAGATAAGAAAATACAACTAAAAAATAAAGAAACAAATTTTAAAAGAATAAGAAAAAATATGGAGAGAAGAAAAGGAAAAATAACAAAATAGAAAAAAAATCAAGGGCAAACAAGCTAACTGTGGTCAAAGTCCCTCAGGTCATCAAACACCAGCTTGCTGAGCTAAAAGGATCAAAAACCTAGGCCCAGTCAAGAACTTATATAAGTGTTTGGAATTCTCTAACAATGGCTCCTTATGAGGTCAAAGCAAGACATAGACCTATGTTGACTGGGCATAATTCATAGCAGTTTTCTTAATTTTTAATCTGAAGAACTCTTTGCTCTTAAGAAAACTCAAGGTTTTTTTATGTGGGTTATAGTGATTGATATTTACCTTAGAAATTAAAACCAGTATGATGCTTTTAATTTCAATGACAGCTTGTCAATCTGTAACATTTTTTGAATTTTAAAGAGCTCATAATGTCTACTCTTAAAATATTCAATTCCTTTTTCTTTAAACTCTAAATAATTGGTCTCAAAATTATACTACAACTTATATCATAATACTATAGAAAATGTTCTGTTATGTACCAAACAATAAGATACATTATTAGTATCTATAAAGCTGAGAGAAAGACAGCCTTCGTCATATTTTCTCCAATAATATTACCAGTATATTTCTTATCAGAAAACTTTGAGGCCAGAAGGCAGTGAGTGGGTTGATATATTCAAAGTGTTTAGGGAAAAAAACTGTCAACCAAGTATCCTATAGCTGCCAAAACTGTCTTTCAAAAATGAGGGAGAAATTAAGATATTCCCAGAAAAACAAAAGCTGAGCGAGTTTGCTACCACTAGACCTGCTCTGCAGTGAAGACAATCCTTTAGGTTGAAATGGTAAGATGGTAGACAGTAACTTGAAACCATATGAAAAAGTAAAGATCTCTGGTAAAGGTAAATACATGGACAATTGCAAAAGCTAGTATCATTGTAACTTTTGGGTTGTAACTCCACTTTTTGTTTTCTGCATGATTTAAGAGACTAATGCATAAGAAATAATTATTAACTTGTTTGGGGGCATACAATGCATAAAGACATAATTTTATGACATCAATAACTGAACAGGAGTGGGGCTAGAACTGTATAGGAACTGAGTTTTCACATGTTGAAGTTAAGCTGGTATAAATTCACATTAGAGTGTTATAACTTTAGGATGTTAAATGTAATCCCCATGGTAACCACAAAGAAAATAGCTATAGAATATACACAAATGGAAATGAGAAGGGAATTAAAATCTTTCACTACAAAAAAGTCAACTAAACACAAAAGACAGTAATGCAGAACAAAAATCTCTGAAGCAAATAGCAAAATGACAGAAGTATGTCCTTCCTTTTCAGTAATTACTTCAAATGTAAAGGATTAAATTCTCCAATCAAAAGACAGAAATTGGCAGAATAAATAGAAAACACAGGATCCAACTATATGATGTTTATAAGAGATCCACTTTAGATCCAAAGACACAAATAGGTCGAAGGTTAAAGATATTCCATGCAAATAGTGACCAAAGAGAATAGGGTAACTAAACTAGAATTTAAGTCAAATAAAGTCTTAAGTCAAACTTAATGTCACAAAAGGGTACAAAAGACAATACAGGCATTATATATTAATAAAAGTTCCAATACAGCAAGAGTATATAACAATTATCAACATTTATGTGCCTAATAACAAACTTTCAAAACATATAAAGCAAAAATGGACAGACTGAAGGGAGAGATAGACAGTTCTATAATAATAGTTGGGGACTTTAATATCCCACCTCAATAATGGATAGAACAACCAGACAGAAGATAAGCAAGGAAACAGAGGTCTTGAACAATACAATAATCCAATCAGGTCTAACAGCCATCTACAACAGTGGTCCCCAGCCTTTTTGGCACCAGGGACCAATTTCATGCAAGACAATTTTTCCACAGACCAGGGATGGGGGATGGTTTTGGGATGAAACTGTTCCACCTCAGATCAACATCAGGCATTAGTTAGATTCCCATGAGGAGCGCTCAACCTAGGTCCCTCACACGTGCAGTTCACAACAGAGTTCGCGCTTCTATGAGAATCTCATGCCGTCATCGCTGATCTAACAGGAGGTGGAGCTCAGGCAGTAATGTTCGCTCATCCTCTGCTCACCTCCTACTGTGCAGCCTGGTTCCTAACAGGCTGTGGCACGGCTCCACGGCCCAGGGGTTGGGGACCCCTGATCTACAGGACACTCTACCCAGCAACAGCATATACCTTTTTTTCAAGTGCATATGGGAAATTGTCCACAATATACCATATGCAAGGTCATAAATTAAGTCTCAGTAGATTTAAAAATATTTCATACAAAGAATCTTCTCTGATCACAACAAGATGAAGTTAGAAATCAATAACAGAAGTAAAAACCGGAAAATTCACACATTTGTGGAAATTAAACACATTCAAACAACAAAAAGAAATACAATAACACAGGAAAAGCTGTTCAACATCACTAATCATTAGGGAAACGCAAATCAAAAACCATAGCAACGTATCACCATGCATCTATTAGGATGTGTGGTTATTTTTAAAACATTTAAAAATAAATAACAAGTATTGGCTAGGGTGTGGAGAAATTGGAATCCTTGTGTACTGCTGCTGGGAATGTAACGAAGTATAGTCATTATGGGAAACACTACGACAGTTCCTCAGAGAATTACAAATAGAACTACCATGTAATCCAGCAATTTCACATCTTGGATGTACACCCAGAAGAATTCAAAGCAGGGACATAAAAAGATATTTGTAGATTCATTTTCATAGCAGCATTATTTCACAATAACCAGAAGTTATAAGCAACCCAAGTGTGCATTGACAGATGAATGGATAAGCAAAATGTGGTATATCCATATGATGGACTATTATTTAGCCTTAAAAAGGAAGGAAATTCTGACACGTGCTACAACATGGATGAACCTTGAAGACATTATGCTAAATGAAATAAGCTAGTCACAAAAGGACAAATGATGTATAATTCCATTTATATGAGATACTTAGTCAAATTTATAGATACGGAAAAGAGCCAGAGTGATGTTAGGAATAGGGAGTCTGCCACTGAACTGCAGACTTAAAAATGGTTAATGTGGTAAATTTTACATTACACATATTTTACCCTAATTGTTAAAAACTAAATAATTTTTAAAAGTTTCTTCTAATATTTTCCTAACAGTAACTTGCATTTATTGAGTGCTTTCTATGTGTTAGCCACATGCTTTTCCAAACACTTTATCTGTGCTATTTTATATAATTTCTGTAATAATTTCATGAGCTGGATGCTATCATTTTGCCTATTTTCAAAATAAGAAAACTGAAAAACAGAAAAGTTAAGTAACTCATCAAAGGTCACAGAGCTTATTAACAGTAGATTTGAGATTTGAACCCAAGCAATGATTCCAGTTTCCTTATCATTAGCCATTACATTATATCACTTCCAAAATGAGTAAGCAGTTAGTACTTTGTAATGACTAATTATTAAGTTATTCTTGATTTGGTTGTCATCAGATGGTCTTAAATCAGCTGCTTTGCAACGCTATCTTTCCTCAGATATAAAATTGAAATTCAGAACTCCCTGATGTGTGTGACCTTCCTTTGCATACCTGCACGAGCAGATGGTGCAGTGAAATCGGGGCAAAATAATCCCCCAGTGGTGAGTCTCAGACTTGCCCACTGAGACCGTCTTCTAAGGTTGCCTTCCATAACATTAAAAGTCCAATTTGTTTAAATGTCTATTCTACTACTCACTTGCTTTGTGATCTTGGGCAAATGACCTGACTTCTCTGTGCTTCTGTTTTCTATCTATAACATGGAAATAACAACTTTTTATACAGCTTTTGTAAGTAAGAACATATTGTCCTCAGGCCTCCTTGGCCTGTGGATATTAACGAGGTCATTAGTTTTAATCTGCAAATTTCACTGGCTCAGGATCCCCATCAGTTCATCACAAACTCAGGTTCTGAATTCAGTTTGAACTCAGCATTAGACTATGTCAATATGAGATTTGCACATACACAGACAGACACAGATAGAATCTGCAAAGCCATGTACAGTATGTGCTAAACAGATAACTATTATTTGTGTGGCTTTAAGTGGCACATCAGGTCAAGGTGGAGTAATGTCTACATTAACAACCTTGTAGTTTGTATCGTATTTTCTGACTAATCCTTACCTATCTCAAATGGAAAACTTCCTAGAGCAATCTTTGAACAGCAGTGTGCAGACTCCTGGAGGAAATGGAAGACTTCCCAAGGCCTACACAGGCACCTAAGCACTTTAAAGGAATCTACTTCCAAATCCCCAATTTCCAGAAGTACTTTTCCTAAAATGGATCTGCCTGAGATGTGCCTGTAGAGGGTGGGATTCTTTTTTGCTACCACCCTGCACAGAGCTGTGCTTCCACCATCCCGCTTGATACATTGTTTCCCAGGAATATAAACCTCCCAGATGCCTAAAAGATCATTTAAGGGAATGACTGGGAGAGAGGTAGGGTGGGATTCTTTTTTCCTTTACACAATTGGATCTTATCCTGTATGCTAATAGAGCATTACAAATAATGTTTGCTGTTAAATTGTTATGTAATCATGTAATGTTTTTGTATATAGCTCAGAGAGAGTTGAAAGAATTGAAGGGAATTTGCAACTCCTTTCACTCGTTTCCATCCCTTTGTATGGCTGGTGTTTGGTACTCTTTACCTAACTAATGCTGAAATGTGTCTCATTCTAACATAGGATCATTCATAAATACCTTTACTAATGATTTTTTAGAAGATTGAATCTTTCCTTAAGGAAAATATTTTGAATTAAATTTTAATTTTGTCTTTTATTTAAATCTGTCAAAGTTTGAACTATATAATTTATTATTTTGACACATTGTAATGACAATGCAATTGACAAAAGAAAAAGATATTTAGTAATTAAGCTTCCAGGTCACCAGAATATTAAAACTAAAAAAAAAAAAAAAAAAAAAGTGTTAAAGACAGGGTCTCACTATGTTGACCAGGCTGGTCTCAAACTCCTGGCCTCAAGCTGTCCTCCCACCTCAGCCTCTTGAAATGCTGAGATTACACACATGCACCACGAAACCCAACTGGAGTCATTCTTGACTCTGCAAATGACCTCTCAGGGTTGGCTTGCACTCTCAGGATGGGGACTTGCACTTAGTCCATCTCAACTCATGGCCCCCAGCCAAGGGAATGCTCCAGGTATCCTGGGTGGGCCTTCTGACAGTGCTTGGGGAGGGTGTGTATGAGTGTGTGATGGGAGGCATGTGTGGGGTGTGTGCGTTTGCTTCGGGGTGAGTGTATGTGTGGCAGGGATGCCTGTGTGTGTGTGTGTGTGTGTGTGTGTGTTGGTCTGTGTGCTGGGTGTGTTTGTGTTGGTGTATGTGTCAGTGTTGTAGGACTTTTTCCTTAGTTCAGCTAAGAGCTGGGTTCTTGTCACACGGCCATGAGAGATTAGGCTTGCAGACACTTTGAAGGGTGAGAAAAAGTGGAATGTATTGGGCAAAAGGGAAACGGGGCCCTGGGCAAAGCCAGAGTCCCTGCTAGTGTGCTTCCCACCCCGCAGATTGAATCCCAGTTTCCACCCAGGAAAAGGAGGGGCCAGGCTCCTCCCCCTCAAAGACGTGAACTTCCCCATGCTCCACCCCAGCGTGCACTCCTACCAGTGCACAGGCCAGTCAGAGGGCCTGCCAGGGAGCCCTTCCCACCTGGCTGTCTCATCAGTGTGTGTGTGTTGGGAGTGTGTACCTGTGAGTGTGCATGTCTGTGTGTGGTGTGGTGGGTGTGTGTTGCTGTGTGTGTTGGGGGGTGTGAGTGTGGTGGGGTGTGTGTGTCTGTGTGTGTTGGGATGTATGCGCCTGTTGTGTGTGTTGTTCTGTGTGGGGTATAGGGGTTAGGGGTGTGGGGCTTGGGGAGCAGCAAGGCCTGCTCCCGCTTTCCCCTCCTGGAGGAGCTCATCTCTCACTCACACGTGACTGAGCCCTGGCTAATACCCGAGTCCACAGCAGCATCCCCAGTTGTCAGATTTGAACCTGGGGAGGGGGATGATATAAAAATGCAGCTTGAGAATTTGTTCACAATGGCTTAACAACTGTTGAGGAGATTTGTGGCTTCCTTCTGGTGAAGGCAGGGAAGTATAAAAATACTCAAGTGAGGAAATGGTTATAAAAAATTGAGCTGTCTTTAATCCACTTCAGTTTAATAGTCCCTCTTGGAAACATACACTTACCATGTAAGCCATGTCGAATGTTATCGCACACTTGAACCTAATGTTGGCTTCACACAGCGGAAGCCCTGGCATAGAAATTGTCTTTAAATCCTCTTTCAGATTAATTGCATCAAGAGTAGCATTCCTTGTGTAAGAGGATAGAAGGATCCTCCCAAAGGACTTAAAAACCTAACAAGAAATCTTTTAAATGAGTAGGAGGCTGTCAGAATTGTATATTTGATGTCACAGCACATTTTATGTTTCACATCCCAATCCTGCTGCCCAGGTTGAGGCATCCTTTGCTACAGATGGCGGGAACACAAGCAGAGGCCGCCAGCCTGGAGTCGCTCCATTACTCTACTGTAATTCTTCCCTGGGGTGCCGCACTGCAAGGCCACCCTGAGAAAATCTGACAGATCCATGTTATGGAACAGATCAATTCACATTTTCAATGCAAAGGGATTCCCAGGAGGATTCATTTAAATAGAAATTTCCTCTAGTGCCTTTAAACGGATTCTATTTACAAAATATCCATAAACAGCAAAATCTCAGGAACCCATTTTTGTAAGTGAAATGAGGCTGACTGCTACTCAGTGTGCATTTCAGAGTCCTTTAAAAGATCCAGTGATAACTGGAGAGGATGAAGTAGCCGGAGAGCTTTTAAAATGATTCCAAAGAAGGACAATTGATCTGCCAAGAAAGGCATTCTGGCTATGAAGCCTGTAGGAACAGGCGATCTGTAGGCTTCACTAAGGAGGTTAGGCTTTGGAATATCTGATTCCCACCTCTCCAGTCTCAATACCTGTCCCCAGTTCCTCATTCATGCAGCCCAGGCAGACAAGGCCTCCTTGGGTCTGGTTGCAACAACCGACTGTCCAAGCTTTCCTAAGCATAACTTCAGCCCAAGCCAGTTAATATGAAAACCAGAAAAAAAATGCTTTTCCCATGAAAGTGCAGTTTTATTAAAGTAAGAATGTAGGTATGACTAAGGGAGGAGACCACTCCTCATAGTGTCTTACGCCCAGTTTCTGGGCGTTTCTCCAAAGAAAGAAGAAGTAAAAGCTAAAAGGCAGAAATGAAATCCACAGACAGATAGCCTGGCACACACCCTGGTAGTTAAAAATCAACCTCTGACCTAACTACTTGTGTTATCTATAGATTCCAGGCATTGTATAGAAAAGCACTGTGAAAACCCCTGTCCTGTTCTGTTCCATTCTAATTACCGGTGCATGCAGCCCCCAGTCACGTACCCCCTGCTTGCTCAATTGATCACAGCCCTCTCATGCAGACCCTCTTAGAGTTGTAAGCCCTTGGACAGGAATTGCTCACTCGGGCAGCTCGGCTTTTGAGATGCAAGTCTGCCGAAGCTCCAGACCAAATAAAGCTCCTTCCTTCTTTAACCCAGTGTCTGAGGAGTTTTGTCTGCAGCTCGTCCTGCTACATGACTACAACTTATTATCTTTGCAGTGACTAAGAGTTGTCATGCATTCTAAAGTAAATGCACACCTCAAGAATCTAAACATAACAGAGGAAAAGAGAACTACTCTACTGCCATTCTCAGACACATACTCAGAATGAAGGGTTTGCCTTAAAAATGTAACTGAGAGAGATAGGGAGAGATTTGTTAAAAGATACAAAATTACAACTAGATGAGAGGAATAAGTTCTAGAGTTCTATGCCAATGTAGAGTGACTGTAGTTAACAGTAATATATTCTATAGTCTCGAATAGCTAGGATATTGAATGTTTCCAAAACAAAGAAGTAAATGTTTGAGATTATGGATATGCTAATTACCCTGATCTGATCACTATACATTATAGGTATGGAAACCTCACTATGTACTCCATGAATATATACAATCGCTATGCATCAATTAAAGTATTTAAAAATGTAACTGAGTTCATACAAACAGTGACTTGGTCATTTCCAAGCTTTGGCTGCCTGGTCTTTGTATTGCTGAGGAAAAAGTCTTGAAGAATTGCATGACTCCATAAAAAGCTGGTTTCTTATTCCTGGGAGAGCCCAGGAGGTACAATTTTGAAAAGCAGATGAGAAGGATGGGCTGATTTGTATAAGAGTGGAAAGTCCCAGCTCTGTATGCTGGGAGCAACCTTGCAAATTAGAAAAAAGATTCTCTTCTCCACATACGCTTTATCACCGTACGGACTGAAGCTGTCTTCTCAGCTTTTGCAGAAAGGCAGTCTGAAATCATGGGACACACACTGGCACTAGAATGGCTGAGCCCCAAGCTCCAGTGTGAGAGCAGGGTGAGTGATTTCACACCCACAGCAATTCCGAGCGCATGTCCCACCTGCTTGGCCTGTGGTGATGATTAAATGAGACAATGCTTTTTGCATGTTTAGCACAGAACCTGGGGACAATACACTCGGTCAGAGACTGCTGCTATTAATAGGTGGTGTTATTAATAGGAACTTGCCCCTGCTAATCTTCACCTGTTATCTGTTATTCTTTAATAGGACTGCAGCTTCAGTTCCTTTGCCTTTCACTTACTTTGAGTGGCCTGTTAATTGCCTTCCTGCTCACCTAATTGTTCAAACAAAAGAGCCCTTTGAACCTGCACCTTTGTAGCAGGAAAGAGAAGAGCTTATGCTCCAGGCAAGCTCTTCTCCTGGAGGGCCTTGCTGAGACCAGCCTTGAGCAAGATCACTGTGATTCCCACCTCAGGCCTCCACACCCCTGGAGTGGTGCTCATTAGCTGCAGTGCCTACCTGGAGAGGAACATGTTTATCACCTTTGCATTTTCCCATTATGTTTATAAACTTCCTTCAATGGCGTTTCTCTTTTTTTTTTTAAATCACTTGTAAACACATTTGAGCAAAATAGTCTCACAAATAGAAAACAAACCAAAAAATGGTTGTGCAGCCAGAAACTGGAGAGGTTCCTATGCCGTTCTAAGAAGTTTGAGTGGTGTTTATAGGCAGTAGGGACCTCTAGAATATTATTGCTCAGGGATGTGGTATGGTGGGATTGGCCATGAAAGCAGCTGTAGGTTTCTGGCAAGAGGGTGTGGAAGCAGCTGTAGGTTGCCAGCAAAGAGGTGTGGCATAGTCGGGGTCCTCAGTGAGAAGCTGGCTGCAGTCATGTGGTGGAGGTTGCTGAGGGCCCCAGCTGAAGGCAGAGCCGTGGGTTTAGAGAGATGCTTAACAGACAGAGGCTGTGGATGGAGATTCAACAGGACACTGTGCCCAGTTGGCTGGGGGGGGGGGGGCATGAGGCATCTACTCTGAGTGACCAGCAGGCTGCTTGTACCAGGCTGGTGAATAATACTGGAAGAGGTGAGTGTCTGGGAAGTGTGAGCTTTTCATGAAGTGAACTTGGACTGCAAGAGGCTCTGGTCGGGGTACTCAGCAGGCAGCCTGGAAGCCAAGTCTGAGACACTTCAAATTCTATTTGGAAGAAGGAAGAACATAAATAACTAAGGAAAAACTCTGTAAACTAAAATAATAGTTAAAAAATAATAATAAGTTAGAATTGGGTGACTGAAGTGGGAGGATCACTTGAAGCCAGGAGTTCGAGACCAGCCTGGGCAACAAAGTGAGACCATTATCTCTACAAACAAAACAAAACAACAATTAACTGAGCATAGTGGTACATGCCTATTGTCCCAGCTACTTGGGAGGCTGAGGCCAGAGGATTGCTTGAGCCCAGGAGGTTGAGGTTACAGTGAGCTATGATTGCACCACTGCACACCAGCCTGGGTGACAGAGCTAGGCGCTGTCTGGGAGAAAAAAAAAAAGTTAAGAACGAACTTATGTGAGGAGTCAGGGTCGGGGATGTGACAGGCATTTGAACCAAAGCAACTCCATCTTGAATAGGGAATGGGTAAAATGAAGCTGAGACCTACTGGGCTGCATTCCCAGGCGGTTAGGAGTTCTAAGTCACAGGATGACGTAGGAGGTTGGGACAAGATACAGGCCAGAAAGACCTTGCTGATCAAACAGCCTGCAGTAAAGAAGCTGGGCAAAACCCACCAAAACCAAGATGGTGGTGAAAGTGACCTCACTGCTCATTATATGCTAATTATAATGTAGTAGCATGCTAAAAGACACTCCTGCCACTGCCACAACAGTTTACAAATGCCATGGCAATGTCTAGAAGTTACCCTGCATCCTCTAAAAAGGGGAGGAACCCTCAGTTCCAGGAATTGCCCACCCCTTTCCCAGAAAATTCATGAATAATCCACTCCTTGTTTAGCATATAATCAATAAATAACCATAAAAATAGCCAACCAGCAGCCCTTGGGGCTGCTCTGCCTATGGAGTAGCCATTCTTTTCTTTGCTTTCTTAATAAGCTCCTTTTCACTTTACTCTGTGAACTTGACCTGAATTCTTTCTTGTGTGAGGTCCAGGAACCCTCTCTTAGGGTTTGGATCAGGACCTTTTTCCGGTAACAGGGATGATCATGGTGTCATCAGCTTAGAGATGATCATTGAAGATGCAGAAGAGGCCCAAAGAGGGGAGGGAAGGGCTGAGAAGGAGCCTGCACAGAAATAGGTAGGCCTCTCCTGGGGCCTGTTTAAAAGGATAGATAGATAGAAGTCTGTTGACTTTGGATACCTGGAGAGAGGGGATGGAGACTGGTGATGAAAGATTGGTGACAATGTACACAGGCTTAGGTTGCAGTGCTGTGCCACTTGAGTAATTTTAAAATTTATTTTAAGAATATATATATATAATATAATATATATAATATATATTATATAATATATATATTATATATTATATAATATAATATATAATATATAATATATATAATATAATATATAATATATAATATATATAATATAATATATATTATAAATATTAATAATATATATTATATAATATATATTATAAATATTAATAATATATATTATATAATATATATTATTAATATATTTTATAATATTAAAATATTATATAATATTTATATATAAATATATAAATGTATATAAATATATATAAATATAAATATATATATATGTAATTTGGTCGGGCGTGGTGGCTCATGCCTGTAATCCCAGCACTTTGGGAGGCCAAGGAGGGCAGATCACCTGAGGTGAGGGGTTCGAGACCAACCTGGCCAATGTGGCAAAACCCCATCTCTACTCAAAATACAAAAATTAGCAGGGTATGGTGGCCCATGCCTATAACCCCAGCTACTCAGGAGGCTGAAGCAGGAGAACTGCTTGAATCCAGGAGGCAGATGTTGCAGTGAGCCGAGATTGTGCCTGGGCAACATAGTGAGACTCCATCTAAAAAAAAATATATATATATATATATATAATTTATTTTAAGAATATATATTATATATTTATATATATATTAAGAATATATATAGGTATCTATATATATTTAAGGATATATATGTATCTCTATATATAGATACCAATTATATACATATTTCAGACAGGGTCTCGCTATTTCGCCCTTGCTGGAGTGCAGTGGTGTGAACATGGCTCACTGCTTTTTCCCACCTGGGGAAAGCAGCTCCTGACAATGGGGCAGGCCAAGCGCAGGGTGAGTACTGGTACTCACCAGAGAAGGAAAGGGATGCTCACGGCATCCTACAGCCACCCTGGGAGAGAGCCAGAGCTTTTGCCTTAAATTTTCCAGATAAAGAAACTGCATCTCTCAGTGCAGAAATTAATCCACCTTGCCCCAAATCACACCTTCCATAAGTGAGACTCACCACAGCAGCCTGCAGAGGCGCAGATTGTCTCCTTGTTTGTCCGATAATAAAATCACTGTAAAGTTACTATCATGTAGGGAAGTTTGCTAAAGGCACAAGGATAGTCCAATGCACGGGCAAAAGATATTGGAAACTAGAAATAGATTTAAGAGATATCAACAACCAAGGCGATATTTTGATTTAGAGAGAAAAGAATTGCTTTAATAATAAATGGTGCTGGCATAATTAGCTCTTCATCAGGAAGAAAAAAGTAGCTAAACTTCCACCTCACATAATACACAGAAATAAATTCCAAAGGATTCAAGACTTAAATACTAGAAATAAACTACAAGTAATACATGTTTGTTTTTAACTAAGAAGAACTTCTGTCAAATCTTATGGTATGGAAGATCTTTCTAAGCCAGATAGAAAAGACCAGTCATATTTGTCTAAATACAAATAAGTTTTTATATGACTTTTTAAAAAATATGTAAATTAAGATAATAGAAAAAGATCTGGGCCCGGCACAGTGGCTTACACCTGTAATCCCAGCATTTGGGGAGGCTGAGTTGGGTGGATCACCTGAGGTAGGGAGTTTGAGACCAGCCTGGCCAACATGGGAAAACGTCGTCTCTATTAAAAAAAAATATATAAAAGTTAGTCAGGCGTGGTGGTGCACACCTGTAATCCCAGCTACTCGGGAGGCTGAGGCATGAGAATTGTTTGAACGTGAGAGGCGGAGGTTGCAGTGATCCGAGATTGCACCACTGCACTTCAGCCTGGATGACAGAGTTAGACTCTGCCTCAAAAAAAATAAATAAATAAAAAGAAAGAAAATATCTTCGGCACTCATAATAGGAAAAGGATTCATATGCATAATATTCAAAGAACTTCTACAAATTCACAAGAGAAAGATAAGCTCAGTAAGAAAATAGTAAAAAGATAGAATAGGCTTTTCACAGAATAAATCCAAAAGTTTAGTAAACATAGGAATACATGCCTTCACTGAGAATGAGGAAAATATAAAATAAAGCAACAAGTGAAAATATCTTCTTTGCATGTGATTGACAAACCTTAAAAAAAGAAAGAAAAGAATAAAATGCTGAATGTTTTCATAAAGGCAAGAAATAGGCAATGGTGTGTATTGCTAGGGGAAATAGAAATTGTTCCAATTTGGGAAAGTAATGCAACAATATCTGTTTTAAAATGACATATATCCTTTTACAGAACTATCCTGTTTTTATGACTCTATTCTACAGAAATAAAAGCCCATAAAGTATATACACAAACAGCATTGTTTATGATAACAAATAACAAAGCAGATGCAAATTAGAAACAGCCTCAATACTCATAACTGGAGGGATGGTTTGATCAACTGTGTCCTTCTATACTACAAAATATTATACGACTATTAAAGAGAATGAAGTAGCTCCATATCTATTGTCCTGGAGGGATGTCCCTGATGTATTGGTAGAAAAGAAAGGCAACTGACAGAGTAATTAATACAACATATCCCAATTCTGTAAAAATCCACAATATGATTTTTACTCTCTGTGTGAATGTAGACTTGTCTGAGGAATCACAAGGATGTGGACAGATAAATATGTCTGTTGACTTCGGATACCTGGGGAGAAGTGGATAGAGACTGGTGGTGAGAGATTTGTGACAATGTGTACAGGCTTTGGTTGCAGTGCTGTGCCACTTACGTAATTTAAAATTTTATTTTAAGAGTATATTAAAGGCCGGGCGCAGTGGCTCATGCCTGTAATCCCAGCACTTAGGGAGGCCAAGATGGGTGGATCATGAGGTCAGGAGATCGAGACCATCCTGGCTAACATGGTGAAACCCTGTCTCTACTAAAACTACAAAAAAAAAAATTAGCCAGGAGTGGTGGTGGGCGCCTGTAGTCCCAGCTACTCAGGAGGCTGAGGCAGGAGAATGGCGTGAACCTGGGAGGCGGAGCTTGCAGTGAGCCGAGATTGTGCCACTGCACTGCAGCCTGGGCGACAGAGCGAGACTCCGTAAAAATTTATTTTAAGAATACATACACACACACACACACACACACATATATATATATACACACACATACATATTTTATTTTAGACAGAGTCTCACTCTGTCACCCTAGCTGGAGTGCAGTCGTGTGAACATGGCTCACTGCAGCCTTGACTTCCTGGGCTTAAGCAATTCTCCCACCTTAGCCTTCTGAGCAGCTGGGACTACAGGCATACATCACCATGTCCTCCTCCAAAAGTGCTGGGATTACAAGCGTGAGCCACTGCACTTTTTTAAAAAAGAGAATTTTTCAAATGTAACCCAGAATCCCAGACCCCCATTCTATTTGAGCAAATGAGAACAAAACCTGGGAATCTGCCTGCTAACAAGAAACCCAGATGGTCCTTGATACAGTGGCTGTGGCCTACACCTTAGGAAGCACTATGGTCAGTACAAGTCTCTTAGCAGAAAACGAGGGGACCTGGAAGGGCAGCAAGGTTCATGTGAGATTTTACAGAGGAGCATCTCTTCCTCTAAGTCAAGAAGGAAGAAGTCAGGTGCCCAAGAGGAATATGCACAGAGTAGGAGAAATTTCTTTTCTTTTTTTTTTTTTTTGAGATGGAGTCTCACTCAGTTGCCCAGGCTGGAGTGCAGTGGCGCGATCTCGGCTCACTGCAAGCTCCGCCTCCTGGGTTCACCCCATTCTCCTGCCTCAGCCTCCCGAGTAGCTGGGACTACAGGTGCCTGCCACCACACCTGGCTAATTTTTTTGTATTTTTAGTAGAGACGGGGTTTCACCATATTAGCCAGGATGGTCTCGATCTTCTGACCTTGTGATCTGCCCATCTCGGCCTCCCAAAGTGCTGGGATTACAGGCGTGAGCCACCGCGCCCAGCCAAGTAGGAGAAATTTCTAAAGGCAGGAAAGGAAATTCATGGAGTTCAGATAAGAGTGAGGAACATGGAGAAAGAGTAGGAGTAGAAAGGGTGAGAAGTGGCATAGGCAGTGAGGAAGACAGGAAACTCTGCCAGGCTGCAGACAGGCTGGCTGTGTTCAAATGTGGGGTTTGCAGTGGAGCTAACCCAACACCTACAGGACCAAATAGGACACACTGTGCCTTCCTCTCCCCAAAGAGGAAGCATATAGGGGTTTGGAGTGGGTTATTCCTCTGTCCCCCAGCCATGATGTACAGGAAGAGATAGGAATAAGATTATGATTTATGATTTGCAGTTATCATGAGCATGAAACTGTGTAGGATCTCAATTGAGATGCCTGGGAAATAACACCAATCATGTATGAAGTGCCAGATGCAGTACAAATAACCTTTCAACAACGTCTTGGGATAAATCTTATTATACCCATTTCCAAATTTAAAAACCAAGATTGGACTTGATTATGATTCCATATTTGTTCAGACAGCGGCAGCTCCCATACTGGACACACATTTCTCCCTTATTAAAGCTCAGGTTCCTTTACCATCACCCCTATAGAGAGGGACCTGCCCAGGGTCCCAGGAGCAGGGAAGGGGAGCCCAGCAGGGAACATAGCCTTTTGTCTTCCAGAGTCGGTGAACAGGCTGGCATCAGCCCCTCAGGCTGAGCTCATGAGATTCTGGATAGCAGCTTTGTTGATGACTCACCCACCTCACAGTGATAACGTCACAGTCTTGCTGAATAATGCAGCACAGAGCAGGGGTCAGGGCTGTCGCCAGGGTCCCTGCCAGAGCCCCAGGACACAGTTGGGAGCTTCACGGTTAGCCAAGAAAAATGGGTCAGCCCTCTTTGCTCATCCTTCCTCCCTCCTCCTGCTGGAATGGGGCATTGTTTCTCCTTTCTCTGTCACTGTCTTCAGCCAGTGCTTAGAGTATCAGACAGAGTGGGCCTAACCACAGGCCACAGGCTGAGAGCTGTCTGCAGAGACTACAGTGTTTGGCCAAAGGGGGCTTTCCAGCAGGGCTGTGTGAAAACCCAGACCTCTTATTAAGGAAAGATTTGGGGTGGGAAGAATAAGCTGGAAATGTGTTCATCTCTTATCCAATAAGTATTCATTGAGTGCCTACTGTAGGCTGGGATTCCAGGGGGTCAGTGACACAAAGAAATTGAGACCATCTGCTGTGGAATCTCGTGTTTCATTCACTCTTGCGGCCCTACAAGTGAAATGGTATCTGACACATGTAGGCACTCGGTAGGTCTCTATTGAATAAATGAATGACAGGCTTGGTTCCAACTTTTATGAAGCTCACAGTCTATGGAAGGCAAACATATAATCACACAATTAATTCACTCTAATGGTGATAGAATTATGAAGTGCAGGATGAGTTGCGATTATTTTGAAAAGCTTTAAAAGTTTTTTGCTTGAGTGATGTTTCTTTTGAGAGTCTTCTCAGTTTTGATATGAGACAAAAATCTTAAAAGTTAGCATAAGTCTTGGGTGGAATTGCAGCTATAGACAGACAATTCAGCATGCTATACTCTAATGTGAGGATAAATGCCTTTCAGTTTCTGTGAGAGAAAGAAAAAATAAACTCAGTTTCTCCTACTATTCTCTCATAACACAGGGTACTTCTGTGACCTCTGTCACCAATGTATGGGTATGTCCCCCCACCACGCAAGCAAGCAATTCTACAGATTTTCCAGTAGACACTAGCTGGACGTCCTTGAATTCAATTCATTTCTGTCACTACCTGCCTGAAGATAGCATCTGATCCCACGGGTTGAGGGCTCAGTCCCACAAGACCTCCACCACTTCTGATGCCAATCACAAGCCCCAGGTTATTTTACTTGTGGTTTCTGACTGGTTATAAATCTGGGTTCCTAAGACCCTGTCCTTGGGTTTAATTAATTTGCTAGAGCAGCTCACAGAACTCAGAGAGTCACGTAGCTGTGTTTACTGGTGTATTATAAAGGATATTATGTAGGATACAGATGAAGAGAGGCACAGGGCGAGGCATGTGGAAGGCGCTCAGACCTTCATGTCCTCTCCTTGTGTGCGAGTCTCTAGAAACCTCCATGAGTTCAGCTGCCTGGAAGTTCCCTGAACCCTGTACTTTGGGGTTTTATAGAGGCTTCATTATGTAGGCATGATTGATTAAATCATTGGCCATTGATGTTCAGCTCAACCTTCAGCCCCTCTTCCCTCCCCTGAGGTTAGGGGTGGGGGTGAAAGTTCCAACTTTATAATCACATGGTTGGTTCCCCTGGCCACCAACTCCCATCCCGAGGCTATCTAGGAGCCCAGCCAGAGTTGCCCGATTAGAACAAAAGATGCTACTAGCACTCCTATCTCTCAAGAAACTCCAAGGATTTTAAGAGCTCTGTGTCAGGAACTGAGGGCAGAGACCAATATGTGTACAGTCATATGCTAAATAATGGCATTTTAGCCAAGGATGGGCCATACATATGATGGTGATCTCAAAAGATTACAATGAATCTGAAAAATACCTATCCCTTAGCGATGCATGCCATGGTTGTCATAATGTCATAGTGCAATTACTTTATTTTTTAATAAATTTAGTGTAGCTAAAATAAATTTAGTGTACAGTAATGTAACATCCCAGGCCTTTCCATTCATTCACCGCTCACTCACTGGCTCACTCAGGGCAACTTCCAGTCCCACAGGCTCCATTCACGGTAACTACCCTAGACCGTGTACCTTTTTTCATCTTTTTTTTAATTTTTTTTTTTTTCAGACAGAGTCTCGCTCTGTGGCCCAGGCTGGAGTGCAGTGGTGCAGTGGCACAATCTCGGCTCACTGCAACCTCCACCTCCCAGGTTCAAATGATTCTCCTGCCTCAGCCTCCCGACTAGCTGGGATTACAGACACACACCACCACACCCAGCTAATTTTTCTACTTTTAGTAGAGATGGGGTTGCACCATGTTGGCCAGGCTGGTCTCAAACTGCTGACCACAAGTGATCCGCCCACCTTGGCCTCCCAAGTGCTGGGATTACAGGCGTGAGCCACCACGCCCAGCCCCATTTTTCATCTTTTCTAACCACATTTTTATGGTACCTTTTCTGTGTTTAGATATGTTTAGATTCACAAATACCACTGTGTTACGATTGCCTACAGTATTTGGTACAGGAGCAATAGGTTATCCCATATAGTATAGGTATGTAGTAGGTTATACCGTCTAGGTTTGTGTAAGTACTCTCTATGACGTTCAAACAACAATGAAATCACCTGATGCATTTCTCAGACTGCATCCCCATCATTAAGCAATGCGTGACTGTACTTCTTATTATTCCACAGTGGCAAAAATAAAGCAGAGCAAAACAAAACAGTGCGTGTGTGTGTGTGTGTGTGTATGCAAGTGTGTGCATCCAAGCCTCTGTGTCTGCACAGAGTAAGGGTCCGTGGCCCTCATCAATAGCATCTCATGGGCTTTGGATCAGGCATTTGTCATTTGTAATATGTCCCCTTCCATTCTAGTTCTTGCTCGGTAAACCAGTTCAAAAACGCTCATTTCTGCCTCATTCTTCATTCTCTAGCCCCATGCCTCTCCAGGATGGTCAGAGGCCACCTTAGATGGCCCCGGCCTGCCCTGTACTTAGCTTCCCTTCCTCTCACCCCATAAGCCCTCTGTGAAGAGCAGGCTCTCTCCCTCCGCTCCACTGCCCCAGCGTCTTAGCTGAGTTCATGACCATTTTCAAAAATAAACAACAAATATAGTGGGCTGTGGGGGAGACAACGCACTTTGGAGCAAGAGGATCATGAGTCATGGTTTGGCTATTTCTCTGAATTCTAGTCTTGATCAAGTTACTGAAGCTCCCTGTGCCTCACTTTTTTCATCTGTAAACTGGGACTGATGGTATGTATTATCTACCTGACGTGGTTGTTGAGGAGATAAGAGCAAATGGGAGCAGGCATACAAAAGCCCAGGAGTGACGGCAGATTGTGCTAGAGGGCTGGGACACAGCCACATGTCCCACAGGGCCCTGACCACAGCAGGGAATATAGACCCATGACCAGCCCCACACCCCAGAAGAAAGTCAGATGAAAACTGAGATCACTTATTTTCTAAGGTCCTTCTTTCCTTGGGGAGTGTCTATTTGCATGGCCAGTGTAAGAGTGAATGGATTCAAACAGGATAATGGGAACAACTGCGGAAGCTTGGTCCAAACAACTTGAGTTGACCTCCTTAAGTGTAGCCTCCTGTGGTGACAGCGCACAGGAAATGAGGGGAATTGTTGCCTCTTTGTCCAGTTAGAGCTGAGTTACAGCTCAGAGAACCCTTTAGAACCTTGGATGAAAGGAGCTAGACTTCTTTCTGCCCACGATTCTAGAACACCAACCCTGTGGACACACCTTTTTTAAAACCACCAAACAAAACCACATGGAGTGTTTATAACCAAGGAATAATGGCTCGGACCTCCCTTCCCTCAGATAGCAGGAGCTTCTTACGTAAGGGGCACTCGATTGTGTTCACAGAGCCAACAGCATGAGTCACTGACCCCTGAGGTCATTCTGGCTCTTTTCAAAGCAAACAGAGTCCTGTTTTATAGATACAGGTAAGAAGTGAAAGAAAAAAGAAAAAGACAAAAGTTAAGAATCTGAAGGCACCCAGTGAGCAGTGGGGACAAGCACCTTCTCTGTTCATTGCTGGAATCCTGGTCACCCTCGCAGAGGCAGCACATTAATGGTTCAAGGCCTTTGCACCAGTGTGTGATGTAATCGCCACAGCTCAGCAGATTGCTGAAGGAACCACCCAGCTGCTTCTTACAAGTACATACATATCCATGGTGAAAATGTTCTCTGTGCTTGTTCCCTGGGCACAATTCACAACAGAATTTAGAACTGTACTCAACATGCCTCCCTGCACTAAATATATGTCATTGCTAACGTGTGGCTCTGTCACAGAAGCCTCCGAGCTATTCAGAAACTCTCAGGAGGTCAGAAGGGCTACCTTTGTCCAGAGCTCTGGTTAAAGATTAACAGGCTGGAGTCTTTGGGCCTGGCAGGGCCTAATGTAGTCTGCTGTCACCTCTCCGGGGTGAAGGAGCTGTGCGGGGCAGGCCCAGTGCCCACCGGATGACAAGAACAAAAGCCACCACACCCAGAGGCAGGATCTAGCATCTTGACCCCAGCTCTCCCTGAACTTCTCGGGGCCTCTGTTTCCTCAGTTGTGACATAGTGGGGTTGGACCTGACTCCCAGGGTACATGACAGAGGAGGTTTGCAAGGGAGCTGGGCTGGGGTTTGGCCTGCTGCTGGGGCCCTGAGCCCTGACTGCCCCATGGAAGCACAGCAGTGCAGCCCACTTCTGCGTCTGTTGGGGCCTCCAGCTTTCCTCTTCAGGGTTGCTGAGGAAGTTCTGGCAAGTTCCATCCACAGGAAGGTGTGCTGGGGAGGGATAGCAAATGGCAGACGCAAACACTAAGCCACAGGAAGCTCCCCATGGGACCACCAGGTGAAAACTGAGCTTGGCCTTGCTCAGGGGAGCAACCTGACATGGGTTTTTTTTGTTTTTTTGGGGTTTTTTTTGAGACAGTCTTGCTCTGTCGCCCAGACTGGAGTGCAATGGCATGATCTTGGCTCACTGCAACCTCTGCCTCCTGGGTTCAAGCGATTCTCCTGCCTCAGCCTCCTGAGTAGCTGGGATTACAGGAGTGTGCCACAACTCCCCGCTAATTTTTGTATTTTTAGTAGGGACGGGATTTCACATGTTGCCCAGGCTGGTCTCAAATACCTGACCTCGTGATCCACCCACCTTGGACTTCCAAAGTGCTGAGTTTACAGGCATGAGCCACCACGCCCGGCCACCTGACATGGTTTTTATGTTCTGTGAGAAGTTTTGTTGTTTTCTTCTTTTTAACGAGAAGATTTATGAGAATTCCTGCATCTTAACATCTATCCTGACACCGAGATAGAAGGCATTCTGAAACTACACATAATCCAGAAATGTGAACTTCCACCTCGTACCCAGAGGCCTCGCCCAACATCAGGTGCTCTCAGGCTCCAGATCCATTTTCAGTCAGGAAAAGAAATGAAAATACAAAACCAAGCAATTGAGTGAGCCATCTCTTAAGGACTGAATTATCAGGCATCTATAATGCTCTTTACCCTTTTTTCTTTCCCAGTCAGCGATGCTGCTTACACTACACATAAGATAAATGCAGCCTGGAAATGCAGCCTTCCCATTTTTGTTCCAAGCAGGTGGAAGCTTCTCCCTGCTGCTGTGTGGTCCTGACACACATACCCCAGTTAAAAACAAATAAAAACAGAAATGGCCCCACCATCACTAAATAAAACACCATGTATCTCCTTTGGTCCAATCACCCCATCTCACGTGGCTGAGTGACGCTGGCAGAGCATGGACCCCTGGATGCTGGGTAACTGCAGCAGAGATTCTCTCCCTCTGTAAACAGGCTGCAACCCGAGGAATGAATGTGTGCCTTCTTCTAGGGCTGCTCCTACCCTTTGCTTGCACAGCCTCTCTCTGTGCTCTGGTTCATTACAATGCTGAAGTCACTCTGCTTATCAGGGACCTTTGAGCTGCAGAGCACTGGCAGAGGCTGTGAGGAGGGATAAAAGAAACAGAGGACTGTATTTCTGGCCCTGAGGAGTCTACCTTCTAAGGAAGAAGCAGGTAAAGTGCATATAAAAGATAATATGTTACTACATACATAAAGAAATGCAAACTCCTCTGCTGTGAACGATACTCTCAAGCCCTGGGGGCTATGGGATTAGTGAACATCGTCAACCAGGTAACTCAGGGAAAGCTTAGCCGGGTGGTGAATCCATCATTGATCCCACTAGCACAGATAGTCAGGTGCAGACATTCCAGTCAGTAAAGGCTTGCCCTCCAGTGTGCATGCTAGTGCAGGCATCCCAGGGTAGGAAACTGTAGGCAGGCTTGTTGCAGCAGTGTGGGAAAGAAACAGGGGTGAGCCACGCGGAAGGACTTACCCATGCAGAACATCAGCGCCCATTCACACATCTGTCCCTTTAACAAATGTGTATTGCCTGTTCTGACACTGACATGAGCATTCATTCATGCTGACAAATCTGGCTAATTATGATAGGCAATCAGCAACCAAGCAATGATACAGTCAGAGTAGCATTGGAAGAAGAGATTTTTGAGATGACATGAGGAAAGGCTTAGAGGATAAGAGAGGCTGGAAATGAAAACTCAGAAAATAACAAGACTTGAGTGGGTTTTATTTAGAAAAAATATTAATGACACAAAACTTACAGAATTTTGGCCTCATTGTTTTGTGGTCTTTTTAATCAGCTTAACATGTTAGAAATAGACACATAACATGCTACAAGAAAATAGAGAGGACCCGGGCTTGGTGGCAGGAGCCTATAGTCCCAGCTACTTGGGAGGCTGAGGTGGGGGATCGCTTGAGCCCAGGAGTTCAAGGCTGTAGTGTGAGATGATCATGCCTCTGAGCAGCCACTATACTTCAGCCTGGGCAACATAGTAAGACCCCATCTCTTAAAAGAAAAAAACAGAGCGTGAGGTAGGTATTCACTAATATTAGTTTATGAAAGGCATAATTTTTTCCAGCAAATTCAGTAAAACCTGGAGACCATAACCTGGGATATTACCCAAAATGGTCATAGATCCCGCACGCTGTCCAACCACCTACCAACTCCACCCTACAGTCTTCATAACAAGTGATATGGTTTGGATGTTTTGTCCTCTCCAAATCTCATGCGAAATGTGACCTCTAATGTTAAAGGTGGGCCTAGTGGGAGGTGTTTAGGTCATGGAAGTAGACCCCTCATTACTGTCTTGGTGCTATCCTCATAGTACTTAATGAGTTATCACTGTATGGGCTCTCGCAAGATCTAGTTGTTTAGAAGATCCTGACACCTCCTCCCTCTCTTTCTTGCTCCTTCTCTCACTATGTGACATTCCCTTGCCTTCCACCATGATGGGAAGCTTCCTGACACCTCACCAGAAGCTGAGCAGATGCTGGTGCCATGCTTGTACAGCCTGCAGAACCATGAGCCAAAGAAACCTCTCTTCTGTATAAATTTCCCAGCTTCAGGTATTCCTTTATAGCAAAGCAGAATGAACTAAGATAATACGGTAAAAGCGAAATGAAACAGAGACAATAGCTACTGGCTGAAGGAAGAGTCAACTGTCATGTTTGAAGCGTGGATCAAGCCTTCAGAATAACCACGTGGCCCATATTTCATGGCACTGTCTTAAAGTACATGACCATACTCCCAGAAGCTCCCACCAGCTGGCTTCTCACAGCTTTCCTTCACTGTGGCTGTGCTTACCTTCTGGTCTGCCCAGCTCCAGTCTATCAAAGACTCCATAGGCACAGACAGCACGGTCAGGGCTGAGTGGCTGCCACACCTTGACCAAGCCCGCAGCACCAACTTCTGACCCAAGGAGTGTCCCCTGAGCCTGCTCACGTTATGTGGCAGCCTTTTGTCTACCTAAAGATATTTCTTCAAACACTCTCTGGCAAAGATTCACTCAGGAAAGGCAGCTGCCTCTCACCCCGTCAGCTGCTATGTTCTGAAACACATTGGCCAAGAAGCACTATATGTGAAAATGCCTCGCAGGGCTCCATGAGCTTACGAGCTGCAGGGAAATAAAACAATATTTTAACAGGCTTTCCAACCAACAGGGATCCTGGGACTCTTATATTAGGATCCATGACTAATCCTGTCAAAACTAACACTGGCTAGAACAATATTTAGCCAGGAAAATTGCTGAAAGCTGCCAGTGTGTGGTCCTCCGTTTAAGGACTCATCAGGTTATTATGTTGGGCTGGGGTTTGGGGAGGAGAGGGCATTTCAGAGAAAGTTTTACCTTACATGGAACAATTCCTGATGTATCCCAAGAAAAATCCCATTACTGTATGGACAACAGCCCAGAGCCAGGCTGAACATTTGCAGGGGTCTTTCAGGCTTTCTCTTTGGAGAGGGCAAACTGAGGTTTCCCCAAATGACACGTTAGTTTTGTTCTTACAGCCTTGGGGTTAGCAAATTCTATGTCATGTGCCAAGATTCTGAGCCTTCTCCCCGAACCTGAGAAGGGAGGCAGGGAGGGCAGTGGCCGTGGCTCCTCCCAGTGAAGGAGGAGGGAGTAAAATCCTCCGTGAGCTCCCAGAACTGATGCCGGCTCTCCAAACGCGATGGAGAGTGGGACAGCACCGTACAGGAGCTGAAGGCAGTCAGATGTAAACTCTGTCAGGCTGCAGCAGCCTCAGCCCTCCTTTGGGCTGTTTGTGTCTCTGCATCATGTCTTCTTGTACTCAAACACATACATGTGTATGCACATGCTCACACAAACGTGTGTTACACATGGGCTCACATAGGCACACCGTTGTACACACACGTATGCAAAAACACACGTACATATACACTCATGCAAGCAAACACACACTCTGATGCCACAGGCACCTGTGTTCTCATATTTTACATCTTTTCATACTCTGAATACATGCATACAGACACACATGTACACACAAGATCACACAGCACACACACTTCTGTTTACACATATGTTTACATAAGTACACACATACCCTTGGTAGGGGAAATGGCAGAGATGGGCATGAGCGCACAGAGCTGAGCAGAGAGAGGCAGAGCACCTGGTTGTGTCTACAAAGGCAATCTGCACAGGCGGCCCAAGTCGAGGATCTAGGTCAGGTAACGTTCATGGAATCCCAGCTCCACTATGGGCCAGCTCAGTATTGTTGGGTTAGTAACTTAATCTGAGGTCCGGTTTCTTTTTCTCTAAAGTGAAAATGACACTATCTACTCATAGGATTTTGTTTTTCCTGGGGGATTAAATGAAATGGTATATGTTGGAGCTCTTTGTAGATTGCATTGCCATGAAAATCACAGAGGAGCCAAGGAAAAGGAAAGACATGCATCCCTATTTACCCCTATCAGAAGATCCTTGCAGATTTTGAACCAAGGATAAAAAGTTAATGAAAGCCCTACAATCAAAGGACATAGCTCTATCTAAAGCTCAGAACCACCCCATCTGTTTGCATGCTATTGTTAATCTTTGTACATCACCTGGTGAGGGAAGATGTGCCTTCACGGGTGTGAGACCTCGAACTGATTGGAAATGACCGTCCATTATATAACAACACAGAGTTACAAAACATACAAAAACATGCAGTCTTTATTTGAAATTTTGGTGCTGTGTTCATCATGGATTATTTTTTTTTAAACAGGGTCTTGCTGCTCTCTCACCCAGGCTGGAGTACATAGGTGTCATCAGCGTTTACTGCAGCCTTAACCTCCCTGGCTCAAGTGATCCTCCCACCTCAGCCCCCCAAGTAGCTGGGACTACAGGCACATGCCACCACGCCTGGCTAGTTTTTGTATTTTTTGTGGAGATGGGGTTTCTCCATGTTGCCCAGGCTAGTCTCAAACTCTTAGGCTCAAGTGATCTTCCCACCTCCATCTCCCAAAGTTCTGGGAATACAGGCAAGAGCTACCATGTCTGGCTCATCATGGATTTGTTAAATTATTTGTACAAAAATAATTTTATTTTTAAAACATATTGAATTAAGATATTATTTATCTCGATTACTAAGTTCTTTGGTGCCCCCTTAAATTTTGCCCGGGAACCCCAGTACCTCTTCGCTTCCCCCAGCTTCAGGCCTGGTGAACTGCAGGTGCGTGTTACTCATCATCCTCGTGTTTGACTTCAGTACATCTTCTGGGCAGCCAAGTCACTCTATCTTTGCTCCCTATCTGCCCTATCTATAAAACAAAAAACTATTGCAAAGAGTATAAAAGAAATTAGAAAGCAGGTCCTTGGTGTCTAGGACCTTACAATTTGATTGAAAAGCCAACCTGATTCAAGCCACTGAGCTGCACAAGATGGTGCAGTACAAACTATTCTTGTACACTTTTGTAGGAATCAAGACTAGAAGGAAGAATTCTGGGTGCCACAGTCCCTCTCTAACAGGTTGATCAAATTGAACGTTAAATGAAATACACATTTGGATTAGCACAAAAAAATGGAGAGACATTTTCAACAGAGGAACATTGCACGGCTGAGATGGTTTGTGCCTCCTTTCCTCCGGCTCTGGGGCAGATTTCAGTTCTAAATAACGCTGGGTACACAAAAGCGATGGCGGTCAGAGTTCTTGCTCTAGAAAGAAGGGTTCAAATACCCTCAGTTGCTCATGAAACCTCACAGCAACTGGCAATATTTTTTTTGGGGCCATTTTGGCCATTTCAGCAACAGACCTTAAAAATGGATCTTGATTTTATGTGTTTTTTTTTTTTTTTTTTTTACCACAATCATAAAAGAAAGGTAGAGGGAGACAAGGAGGATGAGAGGGATCTTTCTGGTCACAGTTATAGCTAAAGGAGCCCAGGAGATGCGACAACTCCACATAGCGAGGTATTCTAGATGAAGACTGGAACATGGTAAGGACCCGAGGTAAAAACTAAGGGAATCTGAAAATAGACTTTAGTTAATAATAATGTATCAATCTGGGCTCATTAGTACTCTACTGATGAAGGATGTTAATAGGGTTAACTGTAAGGAGGTACATGGAGACTTTGTAACTTTTCTGTAAATCTAAAACTATTCTAAAATTAGAAGTTTATTAAAACAAACAAAAAGGTTTTGGTGGCTCAGTAAGATTAGAATCAGGAAGAGGGATAAAAATGTGTCCTACAGGTACCAAAGGTCACAGTAACTTGGGCTAAAGGCTCTTTTCCAAACCTCCCCAGAGGAGGACACGTGTGGGGGCATGATGAGGCGGCCCGGACAACAATGAACGCTTGGAGAAGGAGTCCAGTAAAACCTCAGGTAATTAACCACAGCTAGGGTGTTCTGAGCTGAAAATGACTCATACAGAAATCTCCCAGACCAAAGCACAGGATGTCATAGGCAAAGCAGAGTTCCTGCTGCCCCAGCAAAGGCCTGCGAGCTCCCAGGGCTGGCCCTGGAGGCTCCGGGATCGCCTGGACTCAGTTTACCCCCTGCCTCCTTGGCCCAGTCCCAAAGTAGAAGAGCATAGGGCTGATAAGCCTCAAAATGGAATTAAAATGAGGAGTAATTAGAGTAACAGCATAGCTCAGGGCACATGGAAATTCTACAGAAGCATGGTCCCATCCCAGCCTCTGGGGCCCCACTGTGTTTATTTAAGTTTCTTTATTTGGAAAACCATGGCAAGTCAGGGGCCCTCAAGCACTTAGATGAAAACACAGAATGTCATACTAAAAGCACAACCTGTGTGTTGATGTGCACACACACAGATGCATGCCCACACTCATGCACACACATATTGCCAGGCCTAGCGTGCACAAGCCGACAGTTCTGGACACGCAGAGAAAGGCCCACCAGCACCAGTCCTCTGCTCCTGCACCCCGCAGAGGGAACCTGCGCTGTGCGCGCCACTCACAGGCTTCCCCTACAGGGCACACCACTGCACACCACGTGTGTTTGCCTTTGGTTTCTCAGAACCCCGAAGAAAGTGCAGAGCTAGTCAGCTGAAGTCTGTGTTTATTCTTTCCATCTGATTGGGAAGTTTCCTGAGTACCCCATGCGAAACAGTGCTCCCTGGAAAGCAGTCAGAGCCCAGGAGCCAGAGCACAGAACCCCACCATCCAGGGAGGCAGCCCGCAAACAATCGCAGCCAACAGGCCCATGTGATTTCACAGCAGCCAGATGGAGACAAACCACTCAACTCGGCAAAGAGCCCAGCAGGCTGCCCGCCTGCAACCTACTGGGCAAGGCACAAACAGCCAGGTGAGGTGTTCTGAGCCCCAGCACTCTAGGGGCTGGTTGGTCAAGACCCACAGAACCAGAATGACAGGCCCCTGGCCCACTTCCCACAGGCCCTGCATCATCACCTCAGGGACACAGTCCAGAGGAATTGGTGTTGGCAACTCACTTCAGCACCTTGCCTCCCTCCAACTCCAGTTCTCTCTTCTCCAACGCTAACTGAAGCGTTTCACTTTGGACTCCCTGAAATGTCTTTCATCCCACCCTTATTCCACCTTCTGAAGCTACCAAATAGTGAATTTATTCTGTGCACTGCATGAGGGCTCCTTGTAGGGTTTGATTTTCTCCAGAGTCTTCTTTTCTCCAGCCTGGCTTCACTTTCTGTGACCATTTTGTTTACCTCTTCTGGATGCCTTGATTTATCAACATCCCTTAAAACTAAAAATACTGTTTTTAAAGCACAGTTTGGAGTTTAGAAGGGGATCAATGTCAAGGAAATTTATCTATCCCATTGCTATGGTTTGGGTATTTGTCCCCTCCAAATCTCATGTTGAAATTTGATCCCCAATGTTGGAGGTGGGGCCTAATGGGAGGTGTTTGGGTCATGGGGGCGGATCCCTCGGGAATAGATTAATGCCCTCCCTTCAAGGCGAGTGAGTTCTCATTAGTTTCTGCGACAGCTGGTTGTTGGAAATAGCCTGGCACCTTCCTCCCCTCTGTCTTTCTTCCTGTCTGGCCATGTGATCTCTGCACACTCTGGCTCCTCTTCACCTTCTGCCATGAGTGGAAGCTCCCTGAGTCCTCACCAGAAGCAGATGCTCCTGTCATGCTTCTAGTACAGTCTGCAGAACTGAGGGCCAAATAAACCTCTTTACATATATATATATATATATATATATATATATATATATATATATATACACACACACACACATTATCCTGGCTCAGGTATTCCTTTATAGCAATACAAACGAATTAAGACACCTGTTCTGACTTTTCCTTTTTAAATACTATTTGATAACAAATAGGAATTTTAATTTCTAATTAACAATGAGAAAATTCAAGTCCATGACCTTCCTAATTCTATCATTCCTTCTGCATTTATTACCTGCATTCTTCTGTCAAGCAGAGCTTTCCTTTATCAACTGAAGTTATTTGGCTACCATAAAGTATATTTCCCATTGGAAGGGCAAGATTAACGATTATTATTCTTACACGACCTTCAGATAAGAAATTGATTATTTGCTGCAACAAATAGTGTGAATGGAGGACTTTCTTCTCTCTCCTTCTCTCAGTGATTAGTATATGATTGTTATAGATTCATAGATTTTCTCCATTTTAGAAATGGAGAAGTCATAAAGCTAGGAGAGATTTTCGTCTTTCTTCTTTTTCCTTTTTTTTTTTTTTCTTTGAGTTGGTGTCTCTCTCTGTTGCCCAGGCTGGAGTACTGTGGCCCGATCTCAGCTCACTACAACTTCTTCCTCTCAGGCTCAAGGAATTTTCGTGCCTCAAACTCCTGAAACAGCTAGGATTACAGGTGCACATGACCATGCCCAGCTAATTTTTTGTATTTTTATTTTTTATTTTTTGTGTAGAAGGGGTTTTGCCATGTTGGTCAGGCTGGTCTCAAAGTCCCGACCTCAAGTGATTTGCCTGCCTTGGCCTCCCAAAGTGCTGGGATTACAGGCATGAGCCACCACACCCAGCCAGTTTCCTCTTCCACTGTGATGTAGCTAATAAGTGGCAGAGCTGGGACTAGAACCCAGGCCGGTCTAACACCAAGACCAATCTCCTAACCATTATACTCTCCTGCTTCCTCGTAGCCTTTTTTTCTTTCTTTTTTTTTTTTTATCTTTAAGTTTCCAAATATTGAGTTTGAAAGTACAAGTTCTTGCAGTTCATTTGGTTAATCCTAGACCCAGATACCTAAGTTAATGTCCCCTTTGTGGAGTATTGCCTATTCTGGGATTTCATTTACTCTTAATCATCATTCTATTCTTCCCCATTTTCAAAATCATGCTCATTGATAGGGGAGAAAGAAGCAAAACAGAAACTGAGAGACTCTGGTTTTTTTTTTTGGTTAACATTGCATTTCTTTCCCAATCAGTAACCTACCCCTTTCTCATTCATCTTTTTTTTCTATGAACAGAGCTATATATGTCCCAAATACAATCCAGAGAACTAAAAGAACTTCCAGATAAGATACACATTCCCTTCTTCTCCCAAATAGTTCTCCACTGCAATCCCACCAGCAGCTTCACGGATTTACTCTAATCCAGAGTTCCTTCTCTCTTCTCAGTTCTACTTAATTTCTTTTGAAGTACCTAAACCTTTCCACATAGTATATATTTGTTTCATATAATAGCAAGTAATATTTTTTCTACTTCAAATTATCAACTTCTGTATCTGTTTATGCTGACTGTAAAGCAGACTATCTCCCAGTTCTAGGATAAGAAGAGAGGGGGGCTTGATATCTACATTTTTTGTTGTTGAAATAAAATCACAAATATGAGTCACTAGTAAATAAACAGTTAATCAACTCATGTATTTGTGGGTTAAATAAAATCATGTTGACTGGATATAAGTCAATTATTTAGAACATTAATATTAAACAATAGCTAACACCTTGTCTTCACGTACTATGTATGAGTTATCAAAATAAGTCCCTTGCAGGGCACGGTGGCTCACGCCTGTAATCCTAGCACTTTGGGAGGCTGAGGCGGGCGGACTGCCTGAGTTCAGGAGTTTGAGAACAGCCTGGAGAACACGGTGAAAGCCCGTCTCTATTAAAATACAAAAAATTAGCTGGGCATGGCAGTGTGAGCCTGTAGTCCCAGCTACTTGGGAGGCTGAGGCAGGAGAACTGCTCGAACCCAGGAGGCAGAGGTTGCAGTGAGCCGAGATCGTGCCACTGCACCCCACCCTGGCGACAGGGCAAGACTCTATCTCAAAAAAAAAAAAGTCCTTTACCTGAATTATCTCATTTTATTCTTACAGCAACCCTTTCAGATGAGTATTTTAACATCCCCACTTTAAAAGATGAGAAAACCAAGGCTTAGGAAGTCTAAAAAATGACCCACAGCTGGTAGGTAGCAGAGCCAGCATTCAAAACCAAGTCCCTTTGATTTCGGAGCCCACACTTTTAACCACACCCTGTAACACTATCCCTTTGCTACTTGGAATACGTTAGCCAATGGAAAGGGGTCTTGTGACATAAAGCCACTCACGTACAATACTGTCACATGAATTCTGAGAAGCAGACTTCCAGTTTCAGTAAGGATGAGTATCTTGGGGCTGATTAATGCTCTTGCCAAAAGTAACTTAGAAAGCTGGATAAAATATTTTAAAAATTATTTTCCATGCATCAAAGAGTCACTGAAGTGAAGGGGACTAGAGGGTCCGAGATTCTAAGGAGGGAGGACCCATGTAGAAGTGAGCTGACTTTGTGCAGCTACATTAACCCTTGTGGCATTTGCTGATTCTGGGAACCAGTTATGAACTGAGAATCTGGGCTCTGCATAGGCAAAGGCTGCTTCAGGGGACAGAGGGTCGGCAGAGTTTTGGGAATTTTTCATTTACACTTGAAGGACCAATTATTTGGATGAGAATGAAAGGGCAGAGAAGTGGGCTTATCCCACTGCCTGGCTTCCTCTAAAAAAATTCCTCAAAATCTGAAGCTAGGCAGAGCAGAAAGTTAAAAGTAAGCAGACATCTCAGAAAGATGAAGTAGACCTCCATCATTCTTATTCTTTCTGCTAAGTACAACTAAAAGCCCAAGACAGTAAACACAAATAAGACAAACCTAAGAAGACTTCAAAAGGTGGAGAGAGGAAGGCAGATGAGTTAGGGACCTTAGGACCTAACAAATAACATGGTGATAAAATCCCTAGGTTTGTTTTGATTGTTTTAGTTTTCTGTTAATTAGTTTGTTTGCCTCATGTATTCCATAATTGGTGCTGAAGAAGCCAGAAATCCAGAAATGCCAATGAACACGGACAAAAAGAAGTTCCAACAAAAGCCTGTTCTCTCTAGCCAAAGAGCCAGGAAACGGCAGCCTCGCAAGACAGGAAACACTTAGTTAATAATCACTCAACCTCAGCCAAACACTATAGAAAAAACATCCATGGTCTTACCCTCCCTCACTCACACCACCAAAGACCGAGTGGGGAGTCTAGACTTCACCCTGGCCAGGCTATCACAAGGTGCCCCAAAACTCCCACAGGGGTAGTACCAGAGAAGGCCAAGTAAGGAGCTAAGACTTGAATCCCCACTGGCTGGTGTGAAATCCCTTCTTCTCCCACAGCATCAGTGGTAACCACATGGGGAGACTAGATGTTCACCCTACATGGCAGTCTTGAAACACCTCCTCTTGGGTGTCAACAGAGGCCAAATGGGAACCTGAACTTCTCTACTCCAGCGGGCAATACTGAGGCAGAATTGAGTGTCAGAGAAATCCAGGTAATGTAGGAGGTTTAGATGAGATCCAGAGTATCATAACATCAGATGAAGCTATATAGATTCTCATTGAAAATCACCTGTCATACTAAGAGCCAGGAAGATCTCAAACTGAATAAAAAAAGACAATCAGTAGATGTCAACACTGGGATGACAGATGTGTTAGAATTCCCCAACAAAGATGTTAAAGTAGTCATCATAAAAGTGCTTCAATAGTACATGAAAGTGAGAATGTATTTAATGCCACTAACTGTACACTTTAAAAAGTGTACTTGGAAACTACACAACACACTTCTAAAATGGTTAGAATGTATTTTATCATAATTTAAAAACTTCTAAGAGCTTCAGCAAGCAATTATGAACATACTTGAAACAAATAAAAAATAGGAAGCCTCAGCCATAGAGGATATAATCGGAAAATTTAAAACTGAAAAACACAATAACTGAAATGAAAAGCTCAGTGAATGGGTTCAAAGAATAATGGAAAGAGCAGAGAAAGAATCAGTGACCTGGATGTTAGAACAATACAAAGCTCCTAATCTTTACAAGAGAGAAAACTGACTGAGAAAAAATGAATAGAGGATCAGAGACTTGTGGGATTATAACAAAATATCTAAGATTTATGTCATCAGAGTTCTGGAAAGAAAAGAGAAAGAGGGCAGGACTGAAAACATACTCAGAAAAATAATGGCTGAAAATTCCCAAATTTGGCAAGAGACATAAATACACAGACTCAAGAAGCTGATTAAACTCCAAATGAGATAAAAATAATGAAATCCACACCAAAACACATCATAATTAAACTTCTGAAAACTAAATATTTTGAAAACAAAAGATTAAAAAACAAAGATTATAAAACAAATGACAACAAATTTATAATCAGAAAACAAGGAGGCCAAAAAGAAGTGGCACGATATTTTTCAAATGCTGAAAGAAAAGAACTGTCAAATCAGAATCTTTTTTTTTTTCTTTTTTTTTTTTTTGAGACAGAGTCTTGTTCTGTTACCCAGGCTGGAGTGCAATGGCGTGGTCTCAGCTCACTGCAACCTCCGCCTCCTGGGTTCAGGTGATTCTCCTGTCTCAGCTTCCCAAGTAGCTGGGATTACAGGTGCCCAGCTAATTTTTTTTATTTTTAGTAGAGATGGGGTTTCACCTTGTCGGCCAGGTTGGTCTCGAACTCCTGACCTCAGGCGATCCACCCACCTCGGCCTCCCAAAGTGCTGGGATTACAGGTATGAGCCACTGCGCCTGGCCAAATCAGAATCTTATACCCATAAAAACAAGCGAGCAAACAAACAAGTCTTCAGGATTAAGGGGAAATGAAGACATTGTCAGATGAAGGGAAACTAAGAGGATTTGTCACCAGCAGACCTACCCTAAAAGAGTGGCCAAAGGTTGTTCTCTACGTAGAAAGAAAACAATAAAAGAAGCAAGTTTGAAACATCAGGAAGGATGAAAGAAGACAGTAAGCAAAAAAAAAAAATGGGTAAATACAATAAACTTTCTTCTCCTCTTGAGATTTCTAAATAATGTTTGACGTTGAAACTAAAACTATAACATTGTTTGGTGTGACTCTTAATGTATATAGAGGAATACTTGAGACAAGTATGTTCTAAATGGCAGATGCAAGGGATGTAAAGGCAGGTAAGATTTTTTTTGCTTCACACAAATTGGCAAAATATGACTGTAAGACTATATATAGACTACAATAAGTCATATATAGAAAATGTAATACTTAGAGCAACCATTAAAAACTATACAAAGAAATATATTCAAAAACACGATAGATAAACCAAAATAAAATTTTTAAAAATGTTTGTTACCCACAATAAGGCAGGAAAGAGCAAACAGGGAAAAGAAAAGCAGAGAGAACAAACAGAAAACAAAAACATAAAACAACAGACTTAAGTCCTAACATATCAATAATTACTTTAAACACAAATGATCTAAATACACCAATTATAAGACAGAGATTGGCAAATTAGAAACCATGACCTAAATACAGCTTGCCTAAAGACATTCACTTCTAATACAATAATATAAGCAGGTTGAAAGTAAAATAATAGAAAAAGATATACTACACAAACATTGACCCCAAAAAACAAAAAGCAGGACTGACAACATTAATATCAGATAAAACAGACTACAGAGCAAAGATAATTACCAGAGACAGAGAGGGACATTCTATGATGATAAAAAGGTCAGTTCACCAAGAGGATATGGCAACCCTAAATGTAAATGCACCAAACAATGAAGCTGTAAAATATGATAGAACTGAAAAGAGAAAAAGACAAATCTACAATTATAATTAAAGACTTCAACACCCCTCTTTCAACAATTAATAGGACAATTTGACAGAAAATTAGCAAGTATATAGAACTCAACCATACCATCAATCAATAGGATCTAACTGACATTTCTAGAACACTCCATCTGTGATGATTAATACTAGCTGTCACCTTGACCGAACTGAGGGATACCTATAGGGCTAGTGAAGCCTTGTTTCTGGGTGTAACTGTGAGGGTGTTTCCAGAGGAGACTGACATGTGAGTCAGTGGACTGAGAGAGGAAAACCCGTCCTCTATGTGGATAAACACCATCTAATCCACTGCGGGTGCAGCCAGAAAAATGCCAGGCAGAAGGAGGGAGATATTCAGCTTGCTCTTGCTTCTTCTCTCTCTCCCTTCCAGAGAAGGATTCTTTTTTCTCCTGTAGTCCTGGGACATCAGACTCCAGGATCTTTGGTTTTTGGACTCTGGGGCCTGAACCAGCAGCTTCCCAGTAGTCTCCCAGGGGCTCTCAGGCCTTTGGCCTCAGACTGGAGCTGCAACTGTTGGTTTCCCTGGTTCTGAGGCTTTTGGACTTGGACTGAACCACACTAGCTGTCTTTCCAGGGTGCCATACTTACCAGCTTCTCTACTCCTCCAGCTTGAAGATGGCCTATCCTGGGACTTCGTCTTTCTTATCATGTGAGCCAAATTCCCCTAATAAACTCCCTTTCATATATATCCTATTGGTTCTGTCCCTCTGGGGAACTCTGACTAATACACTACCCAACTGCTTCAGATTATACATTCTTCTCAAATGCCCATGAAACATATACCAAAATGGACTGTATCCTGAGCCATAAAACAAGTTTCAACGAATTTAAAAGAATTAAAATAATATAGAGCATGTCTTCCTACCACAATGGAATCAAACTAAAAATCAATAATGGAGAGATAACAGGAAAATCTCCAAGCACTTGGAAATGAAACAACATACTTTTGAGCAATCCATAGTTCAAAAAGGAGGTTTCCAGGAAAATTGTTTAAAATGCATTGAACTGAATAAAAATTAAAATACCATACACCAGAAGTTGTGAGACACAGCTACAGCTGCACTGAGGGGGAAATTTATGGCATTAAATGTATACTTTAGAAAAGAAAGTCTGTCTCAAATCAATAATCTAAGCTCCCATCTGAAAAACCTAGAAAGAGAATAGCAAAATAAACCCAAAGCCAGTAGGAGATGAGAAATAATAGAGATAAGAACAGAAATTAAAAACCGAACAATGATGGGAAAATAAATGAAACAGATGGTTCTTTTTTTAAAAAAGATCAACAAAATTGGCAGAACTCTACCAAGATTGACAAAGAAAGAAGAGAGATGACACAAATTGCCGATATCAGGAATGAAACGGGATTTCACTGCAAACCCTACAGACATCAAGAGGATAATAAATACTATGAACAACTAACTCTACATACATAAATTTGACAACTGAGTGAAATTGACCAATTCTTCAAAAAATACAAACTACCACAACTTATTCAATATGAAATTGATAATTTGAATTATCTATACCTATTATGAAAATTGAATTCATAATTTAAAACCTTCCAAAGAAGAAATCTCCAGGCACAGATTATTTCACTAGAGGTTCTATTAAACACATTATAGAAAATTAACACCAATTCTACACAATTTTTCCAGAAAATAGAAAAGGAGAGAACACTTCCTAATTAATTTTATAAAATCAATATCCTAGTTTTGAAAAAAGAAAATTATATACACAATATCTCTCATGAATATAGAAGCAAAAATCCTTAACAAAATATTAGCAAATAGAATTCAGTAATATGTATTTTTTAATCTATACACCATGACCAAGTAGGCTTTATTCTAGGAATGCAAAGATATTTCAGTAATTGAAAATCAATCAATATTAACATAACCATAGTATCTGGCAAAAAAGAAAATACCAGAATGTATCATAAATAATTTGTCTGGTCTTTGTCCTTGGTTCCTGGGAGGGATCTTCTACACCCTTCTTATCACCAGAAATTTCCCTGATGATAAGAATGCCTTTGTTATTCATTGCGGGACCATACCTGAGTTTATCCAAATGAGGTAACTCAGGGTGAGCATTAAAAAAAATGCTCACTAGAAAGTTTCAGGTTGGGGGCTGGCCATGCCAGAAAGACAAACATGTGTTTAGAGGTTTGGAACTTTGAGCCATGTGACATCATCCCAACCTCCCAATGTTCAAGGAGGACAGAGAAGCTGGAGTTTGAGTTCAATCGTGTGGCAAATAATTCCATCAATCATGCTGACATAATGAAACTCCAATTAAAAACTCTGGACACTAAAGCTTGATTGAGCATCCTAGTTAGTGACCATATTGATGTGCCAAGAGGATAAGACATCTTGATTTTCTAGGAAGTGAACACAGAAACTCTGTATTCATAACCCTCCAAGACCTTGCCTTCTGGATGTCTTCTTCTTGCTGGTCCCAATATGTATCTTTTATAACAAAACTTTATTCATAAGTGTAGCACTTTCTTGAGTTCTGCGAGTTGTTGTTCTAGTGACTTATTAAACTGGAAGAGGTAGGAAGTGCCACTACCAATTAGTCAGACGTGTGGATGGCCTGAGAAACCCAGAACTCATGGTGGCATCTAAAGTGAGAGCAGTCTTGTTGGGACTGTGCCATAAACCTATGAAGTTTACACTAATTCTGGGTTATTAGTGTCAGAATAGCATTAAAATACTGCATGTTATTATATCAATTGATACAGAAAAAGCATTTGACAAAATTCAATATCCTTTCATGATACTCTCAGGAAAATAGAAATAGAATTTCAACTTGATTAAAAAAAATGTACAAACAAACGAACAACAAACCCTATAGCTAACAGCATGCCTAACAGTGAAAGACTAAATGCTTTTCCTTTAAGGTTGAGAATGAGGCAAGGATGTACACTCCCACCACCCATATTCAATATACTGTTAGAAGTTCTAGCAAGTGCAGTAAGTCAAGCAAACACCATATTGTTAAAAAAAAAAAAAAAAAGGAAGAAATAAAACATTCCTTATTTGTAGATGATATCATTGTTTTTGTAGAAAATCCCAAGGAACTTTTACAATAAGAGATGTTAGCAAAGTTACAAGATATAAACATACAAATATTAATTATAATTCTATATTGTAGCAATGAACCCACATACACTGAAATTAAAAATATAATACCATTTTCAATTGTTCCAAAAATGAAATATTTAGGTGTAAATCTAATAAAACATGTGTAGAACTTGTTACTGAAAACTACGCAATACTGATGAAAGTAATCAAAGATGATGTAATAAATGGGGAGACATATCATGTTCATGGATCAGAAGACTCAACATAGTAAAGATGTCCATTCTCCCCAAGTTTATATACAGATTTTCTATCAAAATCCCAGCAATAATGTTTTGTAGGCATAGACAAGATTATTCTAAAATGTATATGGAAATGCAAAAGAACTACAATAGCTAAAACAATTTTGAAAATGAATGAAGTGTGAGAAATTCATTTACTCTATTTTACAACTATGAGGTATTGTCAAAGGGGTAGACACAAGCATCAATGGAACGGAATAGAGAACTCAGATATAGGACCACAGAAATATGCTCAACTAGTTTTGACAAGATGCAAAAGCAATTCAGTGAAGGAAAGATACCTTTCTCAACAAATGATGCTGGAGCAACTGGACATCCATAGGCAAACAAATGAACTTCAACCTAAATCTCATACCTTATACAAAAATTAACTCAAAATAGTCATAGAGTTAAATGTCAAACTTAAAACTATAAAACTTTTAGAAAAACTACTAAGAGAAACTCTGAGATCTAGGGCTACACAAAGACTGCTTACACTCGATACTGAAAGCACAATTCATAAAAGGAAAAATTGATAATTTGGACTTTGTCAGAATTTAAAACTTTTGCCCTGAAAAAGACCTTTTTTGATAAAAAAGACAAGCTACAGAGTGGGAGAAAATACTGGCAAATCATACATACAACAAAGGATTAGTATCTGGAATAAAAGAAAAAAAAACCTCTCAAAACTCAACAACAAAAGCAAAGAATCCAGACAGAAAATGAACAAAAGATATAAAGAACAGCTAGATTTAAGACCATATGACTAGTTTTGCCCAATGGGCTGTGAGCAGAAGTGATATGTCCCTTCTAGTCAGAGTAGTTAAGAGTGGGTGTGAGATTTCATATTTCCTCTCTTCCCCTTCCTAAAAACCGTATATTGAAATTCTGGCATCACAGAATGGAGTGGCCTGAATCCCTGATTCACCTCATTAAGGAGAGATTCTCTTGTTAGTTGATCAGCTTACACTGGACATTACATGAGTAAGAGATACGGTCATGGTGTTTCAGGATCTTGGGGGTGTCAATTTTCTGGCCGGAAACCTCTGTGGCCATGGCGGCTTTGTCTGAGTCCTGTGTCCAGGAAGAGGTACACAGACAAATGAAGGGTGAACAAGACCAAGATGAGCTTTACTGAGTGTTACAACAGCTCAGAGGAGATCCTCAGTGGGCAGCTCCTCTCGGTAGGCAGGTAATCTCTCAAGTGTTCAGTTCTCAGCAGAGAGGAGGCCTTGGAGAAGGTGGCTTCTCTCTGCCAGCAGGTCGTCTCTGCAGCTCTCAGCAGAGAGGGTAGCTCCTCTCTGCAAATGGTTGTTCTGTCATCTCCAGCTATCAGCAGAGAGGGTACTCCTCTCTGCTGCTGGCCATCCAGTCTTCTCTCCAATGTCTTCATCCTCTCCTGTCCTCTGCCCTGCTCTGGCTGAGCCCAGGGCTTTTATGGACCTCAGAGGGGAGGAAGTGGGTGCCAACTGGTCTATGGGCAGCCATGGGCAGACCGGAAGAGGTACCACGAGTTCCCACTCTGGTCAGCGGGACTGGCAACCAGGTCCCCAGCCTTCAGACCCTTCCTGGCCTGAAAGTGAGAACTTACTGGGGACCTGCCCCATCCTGCCCAGTAAACAATCTGCCTTCCACTACCATTCATGGCCCCTGGGCCTTGGCCCTAACCCCTGCTCTGAGATTAGAGCAGGCACTGGAAGCAGCCTGGGGGCCATCGGGCGGCCACCCCCCACCGTGACCAGGCTCCAGGGTGTCTGCTCCTGCTGCTTGGCTTCTCTCTGCTCTGCAGGAGAAGTGTGGGGGTCCTTCCTGGGGCACCCAAGGGTTCAGGCTGCAGAGACACCCGGGTCCTGCACCTGGGAGGGCAGCTGCACCCGGGAAGGCAGATCCTGCCCGCTCCCAGCCCTCCCGCAAGAGCACAGGGAGGCTCTGATGCACAGCTGCAGTTTGGGCAGTTATAGCCCTGCTCAGGAGGGCAGGGCTTTTGCCTGCTCACAGAGCAGGAGGCCTGGGTCTGCAGTCGTGGTTTGGGCAGCTGCAGCAGCACCTGGGGAGCTCCATGGAGTGTGCAGCTCCATCCACACCTCCCTGCTGCAGCCACCATGATGGTAGCAGCCACTGTCATCAATGGTGTGTTAGGTGACTGCAATTTCTGGAATTATTTGTTATTGCAACCATAACCTATTCTGCACTGACAAATATAATGGATAAACTATCGTAATAATTTAATAAACATTTCTATATCATTGGACAATTATGTAACTTTGCTTTCCACAATTATTTATAATTAGCAACGTTGCAATGACTCTCTTCATCTGTGTATACATTTAGTGCAAGTTTTTCATTGGAGTAGAGCAGAAGTGAAGATTATTTCTTTAGAATTGTTTCTTTAGAGTATTACTGGGTAAAGGGGAGTAAGGGTTTCTATTATTCTGCATATCAGTGCCTTTCAAGTGTCTGATACACAGAATTTGGTCAACATGACTTTGTTGAATGAATACTCTCTAATACTGGCCACAACCAATCTTGCCAACTCTTACTATTACCATGTTTTTAGCAAAGTTAATGGGCATAAAGCGATTCTTTCCTGATATTGCCATTCGCATGGCTTTGGTTGAAAGTGAGATTGAGCATCTGCTCATATGTTTGTTTGCTCATTGTAATTCTTCTTTATGAATTTCATGAACAGAGAGGTTTATATTTGAGAAACAAAGTGGTAGATTGGCCTGATGATGTTACTTCTCTTTGTTGGCTTCCCCCAAATAGAAATCAGTCACACTGGAAGGTGAAAAGTATACTATCACTTTCTCTAACTATAATTCTTTACCTAGAACAAAGCCAACTCTTGCAGCTGAGGTTAGCTTTAATTAACCCTTTCAGCTGAGATTCTCAAATATTCCCGCATTGTGTTCATCCAAATGTTTAATTGACTTGGTGATGATTAATTAATAGGCACCATTTCTGCCATCTGGAACAAGCTCCCTCTACCTCCTGGCCTTCTCACTTCTCCAGTTTAGTTAAGATCTCTATGAATGCACTTGTCTTCTTTCTCAACCAAACATCTTATTTTTCTTCCTCTTTCTTTTTAATGTTAATGCTTAGCAGAACTCAAGGTAGGAAAACTGCTGCCTAGGGAGAAGCCTAGGAGAATTCAACTGGATGTTCTGCACCAGTGCTACCAAGTTTTGTTACCTCACTGAGTGGGCCAATCCTTTATTGCCAAGCCCCTGAAGTCATTTATTTGTTTCTGTTGTCTATAAGCCATAGTAATGTGTTTATTAGCAAGTATGAAACCCCTCCTAAATAACAAGGCTCTTCTTGCTTCCACCAACGTCCACTTTCCCAGCCCCTGTTCCTAACACAACTTTTTAAAAAATAGAGATGGGGCCCTGCGATGTTGCCCAGGCTGGTCTTGAACGCCTGGCCTCAAGAAATCTTCCTGTCTCAGCCTTCCAAAGTGCTGAGATTAGAGGTATAACCCACCATGTCCAGCCAATTCTACTCACACTTCTTTGCATGTACCCTGACCTAACATCACTATGTGCATTTATATAAGCTGGTCCTTCTGCCTAGAATATCCTTTCCCACCTTTTCCACCTGATATTTTCTCTCCTTCTTTAGGGCACACTCTCAGGACAACACATCTGCGAGGGCTTTCCTGCTTTCAGGGTCCAGAGCTTGTCATTCCCTTCCCCACTCTCTGCAGGACATGCCATCAATGTGGCACTTTTTCATGGCACGACTCTGTCTTCCTCCAGATTATAAGTCATCAAGAACATATCTTCTCTACCTTTTTTTGTTTTTAGCATCTATCACAGTGAAGAGAAAGCATATAATAGTTTTTGTTCAATGAATGACACTAGGTCAAACCAGTTAGCAAAAATTTTTCACTTCCAACTTCTGACTGGGCCAGACATCCTCCCTAAGCAGTCATCAAAAACAAAACCAAAGTGATCCTTTTTGAGAAAAAGCATCCAGAAAAACATCATAAAGCATGAGGCAAGTTATACATGCTTTGATGTAGGGCTCAGTGTCTGTATTCCAGACCCTGTGTCGTCTTCATTTCACCCATCAACCTCACCATGACCTTGGGCATTCTGAATTGCTTTCCATTCACACGGGGAAGGGGTCTGACCAAGTCTGTGCATGCTTTGAAGAAGTGCTAGATCCAGGACTGGACTGAATCCTACCATCCCTCATAATCCTCACAAAACTTGAATAGCTTTCTAAAAGCTGAGGATGGTTCTTATGCCTATATGGCGTGAAATATATAATTGGTCTTTTCAGTTAAAATCATATATGTTGATAAAGCTTTGATAATCTGGCCAGACACAGTGGTTCATGCCTGTAATCCCAGCACTTTGGGAGGTTGAGGCAGGCAGACCACTTGAGGTCAGGAGTTTGAGATCAGCCTGGCCAATATGGTGAAACCCTGTCTCTACTAAAAATACAGGCTGGGCTTGGTGGCTCACACCTGTAATCTCAGAACTTTGGGAGGCCAAGATGGGCAGATCATTTGAGGTCAGGAGTCCAAGACCAGCCTGGCCAACATTGCGAAATCCCATCTCTGCTAAAAATAGAAAAATTAGCTGAGCATGGTGGGGCATGCCTGTAATCCCAGCTACTCGGGAGGCTGAGGCAGGAGAATCGCTTGAACCCAGGAGGCGAAGATTGCAGTGAGCTGAGATTGCACCATGCACTTCAGCCTGGGCAACAGAGTGAAACTCTGGCTCATAAAAAAAAAAAAATAGCCAGGCGTGGTGGCATATGCCTGTAATCCCAGCCTCTCAGGAGGCTGAGGCAGGAGAATCACTTAAACCCAGGAGGTGGAGGCTGCAGTGAGCCGAGATCAAGCCACTGCACTCCAGCCTGGGCGACAGAGTGAGACTCTGTCTATAAACAAAACAAAACAAAACAAAACAAACAACTATAGTGTTTCTCCCAGATGAATTTGGTTGATATTGGATGTTTCAGCACTTTCACAGCCTGAAGCATCTTGATCTGACCTATGTTATGGGTGGGGCTTACACAATGAGGGCCACCACCTACCTGTTTGAGTAGGACAGTTATAAAATGCTATTCCTTGGATACACCATGGAATACTACTCAGCCATAGAAAGGAACAAAACAATGTCCCTTACAGCAACTTGAATGGAGCTGAGGGCCATTATTCTAAGTGAAGTAACTCAGGAATGGAAAACCAAAAACCGCATGTTCTCACTTATAAGTGGGGGCTAGGCAATGAATAAGCAAAGACATACGGAGGGATATGTGATACAATGGCCTTTAGAGACTCAGAAAGGGGAGGGCGGGAGGAGAATGTGAGATTAAAAACTTCATAGTAGGTACAATGTACACTACTCGGGTGAGTGGTGCGCTAAGATCTCAGAACTCACCACTATATAATTCACCCATGTAAACAAAAACCACTTGTACCCCAAAAGCCATTGAAATTTTAAAAATAAGATAAAATGCTACTCCTTGTAGCTCACTAACTGCTCGGACTTTCGTTTAGACAATAGAAATGATTGAAGAGGTACTGGAGGAAGGGAAGCAGAAAGAAGAGAGAAATTTAACCCCTTTTCAGGAAGCAAGGCTCTACCTAGAAACAAAGGTAAAGGTATGATTAATAGGGGGAAATTACCACTAACAATCCAAGTTCTCACCCAGAAGACCAATGATTTAACATCCTTGGCTAGGGTCGTTAAAAGTCTCCTTGACACAAATGGAAAGCTTCAGACACTGAGGAGGGTACTGCCCTTAAGGGGCCCCACGCCCTAGCAGGGGACTGCAGGGGAACAAAGGTATCTCCCAGCCTAAATGAGGAGCCTGGGTTTTGTGCTTGGTATCTCATCCAACGATCAGGTTTTAACAGCCTCTGTCATTAGGAGTGAAACTTCCCAGGAGCCTTTTGCCAGAAATGGGGTGTGTTACGTTCCAGACAGTTCAAGTCAATATGATGGACCATTAACTCCATGTTTTTGTTTATAGTTGAGTGGGAATGAGTAAGTAATGTCCTTCATCCAGAAAGTTCTCAGAACACAGGATGCAGAAGGCATTTGGAGCTGTCCCCCTCATGTGTGAACCTGCTGCGTTATGATTGTGCCTTTGTGAACTTTGGGCTCTGATACAGGCTAGGCTCCTATACTAATGAGCCTGCACATCTAAAGAAACATGGAGCCTGAGATGAGAAAACTACAAAAGCAATCACAATTTTATGACTTCACTGGCAACAGAACGTTCAACTGGCAAAAATAGTTTTAAGTGGCACTTCATACAAGAGAATAATAAAATAACAGAATAGCACTGACCACATGCAAGAGAATCTGAGGATTGGATGGACTTGAATATTTAAAGACCTAACTGTGTCACTGTTCATGTCTCAAGACATTTTAATACTAAATAAAAAATGCATGAAAAACCCCAGATTTTCTCTATCCTAAATAAATCGATCATCTATCAGTTGTAATAGGGTGGCAGAATTGTGAGAGCTTTTTTTTATTTTCCAAACTTCCTGCTATGTTGTTTTACGGTTTTGCTAATAATAAGAAAGAGATAAATTCACCTAACAACAAATTAACATAAACACTTATCGTATGTTTTTAAACAATGGCATATATAGATAAAAAGATGAAAAAATACACTGTGTTTCCTTAAATAGCATAACAGCGACATTAAAATTCTTGATGCTCTGCAAACTTCCTCAGTCAGGTGCCAACCTCAGGCAAACTGAATAGAATGTATTAATACCTTAAATTTTGTGATTAGGTGTCATATAAATATTATCAATATTCTTGATTGTTGTACAATTGTTAAAATGCAATCATTCATGCTATGTAATTCCTCTCAAAACTCCACTTTTTTATGTGTCTTAGTCTGAGGCTAAATAATTATTATTTAAAGACCTTATCTTTTTCTAAATTCTGGTAAAATATCCATAACAAAACAGCACTGTAACCATTTTTAAGTGTACAGTTCAGTAGCATTGAGTACATTCACATTGTTATGCAACCATCACCATAATTTATTTCCAGAACTTTTTCATCTTCCCAGTCAGAAACTTTGTCCCCATTAAACAATACCTCCCCTTTCCCCTTAGTCACTAGCAAACACCATTCCACTTCCTGTATCTATGAATTTGACTGCTCTAAGTATGTCATAAAAGTGGAATCACACAATATTTGTGACTGGCTTATTTAACAATGTCCTCAAGTTGCATGTTGTAGCATGTGTCAACATTTTCTTCCTTTTGGGGCTGAATAATATTTTGTTGTATGGACATATCATGTTGTTTATCCATTCATCAATCAATAGATACTTGTGTTGCTTCCCTGCATAGCTATTGCACATAATGCTGCTATGATGGGTGTACAAATATCTCTCTGTGTCCCTGCTTTGAATTTTTTGCATATATACCCTGATGTGGAATAGCCGAATCATATGGCAGTTCTATGTCTACTTTTTGTGTTTTTTTTGAGACGGAGTCTCGCTCTGTCTCCCAGGCTGGAGTGCAATGGCGCGATCTCAGCTCACTGCAACCTCCGCCTCGTGGGTTCAAGCGATTCTCCTACCTCAGCCTCCTGAGCAGCTGGGATTACAGGCTTACCACCATGCCTGGCTAATTTTCATATTTTTAGTAGAGACGGGGTTTCGCCATGTTGGTCAGCCTGGTCTCAAACTCCTGACCTCACGTGATCCACCCTCCTTGGCGTCCCAAAGTGCTGGGATTCCAGGTGTGAGCCAGCACGCCCGGCCCTATGTCTAATTATTTTGAGGAACACCATGCTGTTTTCCACAGTGGCTGCACCATTTTTCATTTCTACCAGCAATGTGCAAAGGTTCCAGTTTCTCCACAGCCTCACCAGTACTTGTTATTTCCTGCCATTGTCCTCTTCAAGAACACCGAATAATGCACTGAATTCTGCCCCAGCCCTGCACCGCATCAGAAGGAACCCGACCCTCCTTCTCAGCAGGTCCCAGTGACCTCTGCCAGTGAGGCCCACGATCAGGCCCATCCATCCCATCCGTCCCCAGCAGGATGGGTTCTGGCTGTTGATGGAGAAAGGGAGGCCCAAAAGGCTAATGAGGAAAGTGGTGACTCAGCTTGTAAGCCTATGGGAGAATCCCAGTCCCTGATTTGGCTTCCCCGGATCCTTAGAACTCCAGCTGTTAGCTGTCCCATGATGTGCTTTCCCTGGATGCACAAGGCCGAAACCCCAGAAAACGGTGTATGTCTGCATGCGGCCGCCAGGCCTGGAAACACTTCTTCCTCCCCACCTCCTAAGAAGCCATTCACAAGAAAACTCCCACAGTGACCAAATGGGTGCCCACTCCGCCTCCTCTGCCAGGGCACTGAGGCATCCATTGGCCCCTAGAAGGATCCAGCTGCCCTGGAGAAGAGGTTCCTCCACCCCCTCTGCTGTGTCTCAGGCCCCACATGGACCAGCTATAATCCCACGCCTGCTATAAATCTCCCACCTCGCTCTGCAATCCCCCAAGGACCTTCAGATTTCACTTGGCCTCCCTTTGGCCCCTTGTGGCTTCCCAGCCAACTGAGTGGGAAAAGGAGGGCCCAGAAAGGACAAAGGTGGCAGTGGGGGCTCTGATGCTTGTCCAGGTCAATGACTTTCCTGCCTCGTGCAATGTCCGACACACCTTGAAGCAGAGTTATGGGCTGCCATCTTTCATGCAGGGATGACAGCAGCTCCATTCATCTCCAACACGCATTTCCAAGGCTCAGAAATAAGAACCATTGGCTGTGATTTACAGAGAGCCCAGAGAAAGGGGGGAGGTTTTTTGGCCAAGAGTCTCTTAGCAAAGCAGAAAAAACAAGAAGTGTTTTGTTTTGTTTTTTTCACTTTCAGTTTGCAGCTCAGAAAGCCCAGCCACCCTTTTTTTGTTTCAAGCAGGCACTGAGAGAGAAGGCAGCCCAGCAAGGTAAACTGAAGCAAGTAAAGGCTCTGCAATACAGTCCTCCTCACATGCTCAGCCTCAGCAGGCACAACTGCTGAGAGCTGGGAGGCCAGAGATAAAAGGGATGAAGCCATCCCTTCCTTATACACAGACAAGGAGAAGACCAGATGCTGTGGTCTGAATGCTTATGTACCCCCAAGAATGTTACGTTGAAATTCGAACTCCAAGGTGATGGTATTAGGAGGTGGGGCCTTGGAGAGATGATTAAGAGGTCATCAGGGTGGAGCCCTTGTGAATGGGTTTAGTGCCCTTATAAAAGAGGCCCTAGAGAGCTCCTTCTATCATGCGAGGACACAGTGAGGAAATGCCATCAATGAACCAGGCAACCTGTCCTCCCCAGACACCAAATCTGCTGATGCCTTGATCTTGGGGACATCCCAGCCTCCAGAACAGTGAGGAATAATTTTTTTTCTGTTGTTTATAAGCCACCCAGTCTATGGTATTTTGTCATAGCAGCCCGAATGGACTAAGACATCAGCACATGCCTGCCGCTGGGAAAAGGAACCCCTAAAATTTCAGAATATCTAAATGTATCATTGTAAGATGACACCCCAACCTGGACCCTAAGACTCAAATCCACAGCTGCATTCTGAGAGGCCTTGTGCTTCCTCTCCAAGTTCCTGCATGGACTGTCTGTCCCCACCCTCCCATCCAAGAGCACACTAATGACTTTGTCCTGGTGACCTGTGCCCAGAACCTCACTGGGCCTCCCCTCACTGCTCTCCTGTCCTTGTACCACTGTGGTGCATGCTCTTGAGGACTGCCACCCTCTAAGCCCTCTTTGTCATTGTCAACTGTGGATCTTCTGATCACCACCCTTCTTCCCAAAGGCACCTGACTCACAGTCATCCTCTTCCTCCACCCTCTTCCTTACCTGCCCCCATTCCTGCCATTATGCTAAGTGACTTGACCATGTGTAAGAATGACGCCCGAAACCAGGTCAGCCTCCTGCTCTTGACTTTCTCATGTCAAATGGCTCTTCCCCACCTTCGGCACATAAGCCCAAGCTCCCCGTGAAGTTGCCAAGCTACTGCTTAGGAATTCACAGCCTTCAAGAGTGCTGCCTCCCTCCAGCATTGTTCTAAATTCCTCACCTGCTTCACCCCTGCCTGCCAGCATCTGCAGCAGCCACCTTTGACCACTGGAAAAACTCCAAGAGGATGGCCCAGAGGCCAGCCCTGACCTCACCACGCCTCTGAACCAAACACAGTGCCTACCTCCTCAGGCTTCTGGTCACATGCTCCATTTTCTTAAGTTGAATACACTCCTGACTGATGCAGGGCCTCTACAAATTCATTAGTGTCATGAGGGCATGTGGGCTTTGTTTTAAGCTGCTATGGTGAGAGACACAGGCACAGAAATGATTGTCATGAAGAAAGAAGTTTATGTTCACAGTTTCCTAGAAACAGGAGTTACAGCACAACACAGAGAAGGAATGGGTGGGGCAGGGCAGGGCAGGGCAGGCAGGTTTAGAATTGGCTAGTTTGAATAATTTCAGGGCTGTGGGGCATAGGGGCTGTCCCTGGTTGTCTGAGGTGATTAAGGCAAGAGATAGTGTCCCAGAGTGTGACAGCTCCACATAGGAGGCGGTTGGGAGCGGGAGCTCTGAATTGATTGGTTTGCATTTGAAAGGTGTGCTCCTGGGTGAGTCCTTTACTTCCTGTTGATAGCTGGAAGTCTCCCAGGGTCAGCAAGGCCCCATAATGAATACAGTTGTCATTTTCTCAGCTGGGTCATCATTGGACAATATCTGCTTATTACGCCTCTAAAACGACTCTGATCTCCTCACTATACTTCTCTAACTCAGATCATCACTATTCCAATATTTACCATGGGCCCCTAACTGGCTTTCCTGTTTTCTCTCTTGCTGTTCCCAATGCAAGCAGGCAGACCTTCCTAAAATGTTATTTGGATCATGTTATAGCCCTGCTTAAAACTCCTCTATAGTTTTCCATTGCTTTTAGGATAACTCCAAACACATTTAAATTCCTGTGCATCTTTTGTCTTTTTACAAAATGGAAATAATAAAATAATACTTAACTTGCATGAAGAGGCTACACTGCATAATTTCTTAACATCTCTTCCAGGTCAGAATCAATGATTCGATGACCTAAACATTTTCATCCCCTGCTGCACTGCAGGTGGTGCAGGTGGAATGCCCCCCTCCGGCTGGGTCTGTGTTTGTATCTTTCACTCCATCATTCTGTCTTCCTCCTCTTCTTCCTTTTCTTTCTCATTCTCTTCCACTTCATTTTTGACCAACCTCTTCCTTATCTCAGAACTCTTGGCCAAACTTAACCTCCTTGGATCTTTTTACAGGAGCCCCTATCAGTTCTCACTCATCATTGAAGCAAACTTCATTTAAGTATAAATCCCTACAGAGCAATTATTAGGAATTAGTAAGCCTTTCCATGTGCCAAGCACTGTGTCAAAAACTTTATATCTTCCAATTCCCACAAGAACATATTTCTTTATAAAACAGATATTATCTTCATCGTATAGATGAGAAGACTGAGGCTTAGATAAGGGAAGTGACTTGCTCAGGGTCACAGAGCAATTGGCTGCTCCCAGAGTTCTGTGCCAAACTCATGCATTTTTAAGAGTTTCTGTATGCAGAAGCTGTACACTGGCTGTGGGCACTGACAGCCACCTGTCCTCTCAGGTCTGTTCCTGTTCCTACTAGAGCCCAATCAGGTCAATAAAATATTATTTTAGTTTTCTTTCTTATGCAAAGGTGTATTAGTCACAGCTTTTCAGAGAAATGGAGCTGATAGAGTGTACATGTATAGAGAGAGATTTATTTTAAAGAACTGGCTTATATGCTTGTGGGGCCCGGTAAGTTCATAAACTGTAGGGAGGGGTGGCAGACTGGAAATTCCAGCAAGAGTCGACGTTGCAGTCTTGAGTCCAAAGGCAGTCTGGAGGCAGAATTCCTACCTCTTCAGGGGACCCCAGTCTTTCCCTTTAAGCCCTTCATCTGATTGGTTGAGGCCCACCCACATTATGGCAGGTGTCTGCTTTTCTCAAAGTCTGCTGATTGAAATGTCAGTCTCATCTAAAAAAATACCCTCACAAGCAACATCCAGGTGGAAGTTTGCCCAAATATCTGGGCACCATGGACCAGCAAAGCTGACACATAAAATCACCCACCGCAGAAGGCTTAAGTCAAAATAAAACCAGCTGTCTGAAGAGCTCTAAGTGGAAGGACAGCACTCTGGTGAAGACCTGCATCATGAAAACCCTGCATTCAGGCCGAGGTTCCCTCCCCTGTTGGGCTGAGCCCCGGCAACTTCTCACCACCTATATGCTCACTGGGTGGCTGTTTGCCCTCCTCACAAATTAAGCTTTCATTTCCTCCAGCCGGCACCTAAAACTGGAGACAGGAGCTCTCATTAAGTTGATCTATAACTTTTCAATTTGAGGCGGCGGGAACCACCTCTGGTTCAGACTCACCTGGTCAATGGATTGACAAACCAGTCCAGAATCAGTGGGAACAGTTGCATTATATTTTATTAGCTTCTGGTGAGGCAGCTGCTGGTTTCCTTTGAGTCTAATTAGTAAATGACCATGTGAAATTTGGTTAGTAGAAGAAGCTGGAGAGGCAAAATTTAAAAATGCTTTCACTCTTGGCTGGGCGCGGTGGCTAACGCCTGTAATCCCAGCACTCTGGGAGGCCAAGGCGGGCGGATCACAAGGTCAGGAGATCGAGACCATCCCGGCTAACACAGTGAAACCCCGTCTCTACTAAAAATAGAAAAAATTAGCCAGGTGTAGTGGCGGGTGCCTGTAGTCTCAGTTACTTGGGAAGCTGAGGCAGGAGAATGGTGTGAACCCAGGAGGCAGATCTTGCAATGAGCCAAGTTCGTGCCACTGCACTCCAGCCTGGGCGACAGAGCGAGACTCTGTCTCAAAAAAAAAAGTGCTTTTACTTTTCTAGGATGCTACGTCACCTTTGCTGGTACTAGCACTGGTAGCTGCTACCAGTTAAATGGTGACACCTTGATCCTGGCCAGTTCTAAATAACTGAGATGAGAGAGCTATTAACTGGTTATTTCATTTTCTCCTTGACAATTGGCTAGGAATTTTGAGAATCTTCTATCTGTTTCTTAGAAACTCTCTGTCCAGTGCAGGACACATACTTATCTAAAAAGGCTCATTTTATCTTCTGTTAGGGTTAGCATTAGCTGTATATATTAGAAAACCCAAATAATAGTGGCTTAAACACACAATGATCTCTTCCATCACACAAAATTCCGGATGAGGCAGCCCAAAGATGATGCGGTGTTTCCATGAAGTTATCAGGCACTTTCTTTTCCATCATCCTCAGTACTTGGTTTCCATTTTCAGGGTTACTGCCAGGTCCACGGTGGCTGCTGGGGCTCCAGCCATCAGATCCACCTTTGCAAAAATAAAAAATAACAAGAGTAGAAGTCTTCTCTAGACTTTTGATACCCCGTTTAGGAAGCCCTTCCTAGAAGTCCTTCTCAACAATTTTCACTTATATCATGTTAGCCAGAACTCAGTCACATGACCATAACTTGCTATAAGGCAGGCTAGGTATATTTCCACCCAAATGATACAGGAGTTGTGACCATACAAAGGTGGGCATGAATGGATGTTGGGGAGAAACTGGCAGTCCTAGCACTACTTTTCTTCCTTCTTTCTGTCCCAACAAATCTTGCCTCCAGGTCCAACTAATGCTACTGACATTTCCGCAACTTAAACCATCCTGTTAGTGAAACATTAAGAATGAAATTATATGATGCCAGAGGCTTGCTTCGAAATAAACAGCAGAAGCTAATTGTAGTGGGTGAGTGCATGGAGACCACAAGAACCATGATTAAAACTGGATGATGTATATATGGGGCTTTATCTTACTAGCCTTTCTACTTTTGTATGTTTAAAATTTTCTGGCCAGGCGCAGTGGCTTAAGCCTGTAATCCCAGCACTTTGAGAGGCCGAGGCGGGCGGATCACCTGAGGTCAGGAATTCAAGACCAGCCTGACCTAGGTGGAGAAACCCCGTCTCTACTAAAAATACAAAATTAGCCAGGCGTGGTGGTGGGTGCCTGTAATCCCAGCCACTCAGGAGGCTGAGGCAGGAGAATCACTTGAACCCAGGAGGCAGAGGTTACAGTGAGCTGAGATTCCACCAGTGCACTCCATCCTGGGCAACAAGAGCAAAACTCCGTCTCAAAAAAAAAAAAAAAAAAAAAAAAAAAAGAACAAAAAACTTCTGTAATAAATATTTTTTTTCAAAAACACACACGTCAGGTTTCCTGATTTTTGTTTAGGCAACACTGCAAACTCCCCATAGATATTTGTTCCATGAATGAACGGATGCTCCCCTTTCTGGAAGTTCTTCTTGCCCTGCTGAGATTCCTTAGCCTCTAAGGCCTGGTGCAAACATCACCTCATCTGTGCAGCCCTATCCTAGGCTACTCTCTCCTCTTCACTGTCCCGTCACGTTATGATACCATTGCTATTGTATTTATCACATGGATTGTCATTATCAAGTCATCGGCTCGTCACTGATCATCACTGCATTGTCATCATTAAATTCATTAACTATTATCTGTCTGTCTCACCAAAACCTTCTGAATTCTGGGAGAATGAGCACCATTTCTCAGCCACTTTCTGCCGCATTTGCCTAGCACAGTGCCTGATATTACAGACAACTGTGAATAAATGCCTGACTTGAAACTGGCTTAAAAGCAAAACCTAGGGTTTAATTGGGACTTATAATCACTTGGTCCAGTCGGCAGACATGATATGTTTGTAGTAGCAGTGAAATTTAGAATTATAGTGCTGGACCTAGAAGCCTTGCTGATTTAGTTATAGACATTGAAATGATGCTAAAAGTCAATCATCCAAAGGAAAGGAAACAGCGAGTAAGAGAGTCAGTCAGCCAAGCAAATGTCAACTGAAAGAGGAGAGGGGGCTCTCTGAGTTCTGGGAATGGATAACGTCATGAAAAAGCACAAAGAGTAAAGACAGACAGAGCACAGGCTGAGTACATTATCTTTTTAATTGTTTCAGGGAACGCTTCATGCCAGAGTGTTCCAGTAAAATGCATAAACGCCTCTCGAGGGATATGGAGGCTTGACCTGGTCGTTTAGCATTTTAACAGCTCTCACTGTGCCTTCCAGGAAGCGGTGCCTCTGTCTCCGTCTGTGGGTTTGGGGCACTCAGATTTCATGACCATGAGCTCCTCAGAGCCTCCGTGCAGACACCAGCCTGCTGTGAGAGAGACTCAAACAGGTTCCTTCTCATATGACAGGTAGAGAAACTGAAACCCAGAAGTTCAGAGTTCCAGGAAATCTCCTGCAGCTGACCCCAAGTACCTGTGGTGAAGGCTCTTGGCTCACAGGGACAGGCAAAGGAAGACAAAGAAAGACTAGCCTGAGACCAGCATGCATGTTCGCAACTAAGCCCATCAGTCAGCTCCTTGCTCAGTGCTTTCTCCTTCCTACCAAAGAGCGGGAAAGCTCACCTCCACAGCAGGTCCAGCTCACCTCCACAGCAGGTCCAGCTCACCTGAGGTGGAGACAAGGGACCCAGGCAGGACTTGGGCACCCACAGTGGCTACTAGGGTGAAGAATGAGAGGGGTGAAGAAGAGGAAGAAAAGAGGGAGGAAGGGGGGTGTCTGCTAGCAATGTGACCTTGCATCTGGCCAGGTAGGACTGTGCTAGACCCTAAGGAGGAAGGAGAGAAGGCAGCCTGTGTAGCCCCAGCTGTGGGCAAAGCACAGGGTACCTCAACACCTTTCCACCCTCCACTGCTCTCCTTACCCCCAAATCTCAGTCGCCATGTTTCTAGACTCTGATTGAGGGTAGTTATCTTTACTTCAGCTTACTTTATGTTAAGATGAAATATTTGATATACACAATGGAATATTATTCAGCCATTAAAAAGAACAGAATCCTGTCATTTGCAGCAACATGAATGGAACTGAAGGTCATTATTTAAGTGAAATAAGCCAGGAACAGAAAGACAAATATCACATGTTTCTCTCTCTTATGTGAAATCTAAAAAAGTGAACTTCATGGAGATTAAGAGTAGAATGGTGGTTACCAGAAGCTGGGAAGGGAAGAAGGGAGGGGAGGATGAAGAGAACTTGGTTAACAGGTAAAAACACACAGTTAAATAGAGGGAATGAGTTCTAGTATTCAATAGTACAGTAGGGAAATTATAGTTTACCATGATTTATGGTATATTTCAAAATAGCTAAAAGAGAATTATAATGTTTCCAACACAAAGAAAAGATAAATGTTTGAAGTGATGGATATCTCAGTCACCCTGATTTCATCATTACACGTTGTATACATGTATCAAAATATCACATGCTTCCCCTCAAATATGTACAACTATGATAGGTTAATTTTTAAAAATATAAAAAATGTATATTAACTATTGGAGGAGGCCCTAAGGTCTGCCTCTCTCAGCTCATAAAAGGGAGTGAGCATCCTGGGGGCGGTGGCTGGGAACCGCATCAAGGAGGAGGCAGGAGAAAGCTGCTTTCTTCCAGGCATAAAGGACCTTGCGTTTTCCTGTGTCAAAACACTGCTCTGCTTTTGGAAAGGAACCAAGTTCTGAAGACCTCTGTACCTGAGGACAAGTTGTGAAAGAAAAGGCAAGCCATGGATGGTTAAGGTGCTGTGTGTTAAACTGCCATCTCCTAACACCAGGTCCAGCAGCCGCAGCCAGACCGCCAGGAGGAAGGGTGTCCTCTGTGAGGGCCTGGATGGTCCCCCATGCTGCCAGGACCACACTTTGGGTCGCTGTGCCCTGCTAAGTAGGTCTATGCAAAACTATCCCCAAAGTCCAAAGAAGCTGAAAAGTTGAAAACAGAGGCTGACAAATCTAGTTTCTCAGAAAGAAACACTTAATAGGGACTTTACGAACAGAGGCCACATCTCAGGCAGCCACAAGACAAGATGGTGGATCCCTGCTCAGTTACCCCTACGACCCAGGGCTATGTACCATATAGAATTTGTCTAAGGGCAGGATGTATGGGAAATGTGTGTTTACAATAACATCAAGGTTGTTTTGACATAAGGGCAGGAGTTAAGGTAAGTACATGAAAGTAAAAATCTCAGAGGCCTTCCCTGAACTGGGGTTAATCAGGAGTCAACATGGCGGATGAGCATCCAAGATGGAGCTGCTTTTGTCTCCATGAGGCTGTGCCTGGCACCTGCTGAGGCCTTAACACAGATTTGTGGAGAACAAGGCAGAACTAGAGAGTGAAAGGTGGTGCAAGATAAAAATACACATCGCTTCTCCTCCCCAGAAAGCAGTTGCTTCATCTCCTTAATTCCTCCCAAGAGAGCATAAATTAGCTTGTAGTTTTAATCGCCTTGTATTCACTGTAACTCAGCAATAGAAAGCTCTGTTTGGTGGGAGCAGGGAAGCAAGGTCTCCATCCTTATCGGAGAGTGGCCTAGTTTCAAAAACAGGGGATCCCACAAGATCTTGGCACACACGGACGTGCAAAAAACACAGTTCAAAGTGTTCTTTGCTGTGTGGATGCGAGGGTTAGAGACAAAGCGAGGCTGCTTTGGCTGCCGCAGTGATGATAACCCCATGTACCAAAGTCTCCAGCTCTGATAGAGGAAGAAAGCTTCAAAGCTGTTTCTTGACAAGATTCTCTTGGCAAGATTCTCTTGGCAAGAAACAGAGCTGTGTTTCTCAATCGACTTTAATTCCTCTGAGCAGGCGAAGCCTGACCCTTGGTTTGCTAGTTCCATGTCAGATAGGAAGTGCTTATTCCACTTCAAAGCCAGAGGCACAAAATCCTATCTGGGGGAATAAACTGGTCAAGTGGCTCACTGCTGTGCCCTGAGGGCAGCTGCCTTGGCCTCAGCCCAAGGCCCAAAGGCTGGTAGGGGGTTGTGAGAGTGTGTGATAGCTTTTTTCCCCTCCAAATATTAAGGTTCATCCTTCATCAGAAGACATAATGTTTATTCATATAACTAAACAAAATATCACATTTTGAGAATGATTCCCAAGTTGGTATAAGGAAACTAATGTTCTTTGTTCAATCAAATCTGAAGTTTTCCTTTATTGTACATGAAACAATGAGTTCGAGGCTCCATTAATGTCTAAGGGCCATTGGCTTACTCCATCCAGCCCAGTCCATTACACTGAGTTCTGGTTGAATGCTTTTCTCTGAATTTGACACAATCTCAAATGGAGCTCTAGGCGGCTATTTACGCACCAGGATGCAGTCCCCCACCAGACATTATTAACTGCCAGTGCCTGGATCTTCCCACTTCCCAGCCTCCAGAACAGTGAGCAATAAATGTTTCTTATTTAAGCCACCCATTTTATGTTAGTTTGTTATAGCAGCCTGAGCTGACTAAGACAAGACATAATAATAGTATCTACATATAGAGTTATGGAGACAGTTAAATAGATTAATATTGTACACATAACTCAAGTGACACTGAGTCTTCTCCTTTCAACTAGTCTGAGCAGGTTATCACAAAGAACACACACACACAAGATAAAGGAGAAAAGGAGGCTACTTCCTTAAAATCTTCTTTAACCTAAATTTCCTCTCTCTTCAACAACTGCCCCATCTCTTTCCACAGCCCTCTTTGCCAACCTCCCCTTTTGCCACCAGTGAAAAATAGACTAAAGAGGTACAGGAGTTGATGTGGGCTGACTGCAACCTGTTAATCCAGAAGAAGTGGTTTGTTGGGATGGACTGAGGTGTGGAAGGTATAGATAAAAAGAAGTGGACCAATTTTAAAGATATAAAGGATGTAAAACTGATTAAACTGGTGACTGGGAATGGGGTCAAATATACGGTCAATCTTCCTTATTTGTGGATTCCATATTTGCAAATTTACCTACTCACTACAATTTGTTTGTAACCCTAAAATTAATACTCATGGTGCTTTCATGGTCATTTGCAGAAATGCACAGAGCCCTGAAAAATTTGAGTTGCTCAATGCACACATTCCTAGCTGAGGTGGAACAAGGTGGCACCCTGCCTGCTTGTTTCAGCTGTCACACTGCATCAAGTATCCTTTTCAAGGTCTATTTAGTTACACAATACATCTTTTGCCTTTTTGTGCTTTTTATTGGTGATTTTGCTGTTTTAAATGGCCTCTCAGAACAGAGCTGAAATGCTGCCTTTTGTTCAGAGCTGCAGAAAGGCTATGATTTCTCTATGAAGAAAATACCAGTGTTAAGCTTTGTTCAGGTGTTGATTATAGTGCAGTGAGTTCAGTGTTAATGAATCAACAATGTGTATTGAATAAGGTATCTTTAGACAGAAACAAATACACAGCAAGGTTATGTATTGATCAGTTGATAAAATTGTGATTAGTTGCACACAGGAACTTAACCCTTTATTTCCTCTAGGAGCAATGGTTTGGTATTCACTAATTCAGTGTTCATGGTGACTTTATAGAACATAACTACTGTGAATAAGGTGAATCAACATAACTTCCAACCAGTGTTCTGGCTTGAACAACTGGGTGGATATGGGTGTCATTTGCTGAGCCAGGGCTCACTAGGGGAGGACAAAGTTATTATGCAGGAAGACATGATAAAATCCTGGAATTTTCCCTGGGACTCCTGGACTTTATTTCGGTATCATAAACACCTTTGTAGCTGGAAAAGTCCCATCTTCTTCTGTGATGTTACCTGGATGATGTAAATCAAGAGCTACATTCAAGATACAGTTGCCCCCCCACTCAACTAATTTATGGAGAATACATTCCAAGACCCCAAGTGAATGCCCAAAACCTCGGATAGTACCAAACCCTATATACTACATATATATGATAAAATTTAATTTATAAATTAGGCACTGTAAGAGATTGGCAACAAGAAGAAGAGGAACAATTATGACAATACACTGTAACAAAAGTTGTGTGAATGTGTTCTCTCTCTCTCTTTCGAAATATCTCATTATATTTTGCTCGTCTATTTTTGGACCAAGGTTGACCATGGGTTACAGAAACCATGTATATTAGTCCATTCTCACACTGCTATAAAGAAATACCAGAGACAGGGTAGTTTATAAAGAAAAGAGGTTTAATTGGCTCACAGTTCCACAGGCTGTACAGGAAGCATGACTGGGGAGGCCTCCAAAAACTTACAATCACTGCAGAAGGCAAAGGGGAAGCCAGCACGTCTTACATGGCTGAAGTGGGAGGAAGAGAGAAAGAGGGGAAGTACAACACACACACTTTTAAACAACCAGATCTCGTGAGAACTCCCTCACTATCATAAGAACAGCAAGGAGGAAATTCACCCCCATGATCCAGTCAACTCCCACGAGACCCCACCTCCAAAACTGGGGGTCACAATTTGACATGAGATTTGGGTGGGGACACAAATCCAAACCATATCCCCAGGGAAAGCAAACTATGGATAAGAAGGGACTACTGTACTTCACTGAGTCCAACATCTAATACCATTATCCTCCCTGCCTTCTATCTCATTGAGCTCCCCAATTTAATCTTCCAAATTCAAGAGGATGGAAACTATAGGGAGATGCCCTCAACAAAATGGGAGCTTTGCACATATAATTTTGTGATGATCCCAGAGTTCACTAACAGCAAATTAGATAGCAGAAGGAGAGGGTGACAGAGATGTGTAGAAAGAAGACTGCCAGGTAAGATGAAAGAGATGAAACTGTCCTCAGCCAGGCCAGCATCTTGTGGAAATTAACCCAGGCTCAGTGCCTGGAAGATAGACCAAAAGAAAGGATTCCAGGATAAGGAAGCATAAATTTGAAACATTAAGGAGAAGAGAAAGGGAGGAAGCAAGGGAGAGGGATAAAAAGAAAGAATAAGAAGAACTTATAAAGAGAGTTCAAACCTGCCTGCTAAGCTGAAGGGGTATAATTTTGTCATTTACCTGAAACTTTCCTGACCACCGTGAGGTTTATCACCTTGGAATTTTTATTTTTTAATGTTCTTATTTTTATTTTTTCTAAGAGACAGGTTCTTGCTTTGTCACCCAGACTGGAGTACAGTGGTGCGAACATAGCTCACTACAGCCTCAAACTCCTGGGCTCAAGTGGTCCTCCTGCCTCAGTCTCCTGAGTGTTTGAGACTACAAGCATGTGCCACCACACCTGGCTAATATATATATATATATATATATATATATATATATATATATATTTTTTTTTTTTTTTTTTTTTTTTTTTTTTTTTTGGTGGAGAGAGTCTCACTTCAAACTGCTGGGACTACAGGTGTAAGCCACCATGCCCAGCCACCTTGAGATTTTTCATACTATGATAAAATAGAGCAGGGGTTGGGCCAAATCCACGGGCTGAATCTGGCCCACCTTCTATTTTGGTATGGTGCATCAACCGAGAATGTTTTTTATATATTTAATAGTTGAAGAAAAAAAGTCAAAGGAAGAATATTTCAGGATGTGAAAATCATGTGAAGTCTAAGTTTAAGTGTCCTTAAGTGAAGTTTTATTGGAACACCACCAAGCTCATTCCTTTGCCTATTGTCTACAGCTGCTTTCAAGCTGCAACAGCAGAGTTGGGAAGTTGAGACAGAAACCACATGGCCCACAAAGCCTAACGCATTTACTATCTGGCCCTTTACAGAAAAAGTTTGCCAACCCCTAAATGGGAGCTTGCCTTTTACGCAGTAAACTAAGTGTATGTTTGGATACCACGCCACAGGAGAAGAGAGGACAGGCCAGGGGAGCCAAGGGCAGGAGCTGTGTGCTGCGTGTACAATTGAAAGGCAGGGAGTGTGTGCGTAGGGGGTATGCATTGGAGGGGTTGAGGGTGGTAGGTACAATTCCTTAGGTAAGGTCCACAAAGTCAACACGGACTATAAGAGTGGGTATCTTTGCCTTTTTTTAATGAGCAAATGTTAATTTTTTAAAAAGCTACAAAATAAAATAGAATCTCAGAAATCAGTGCAACATGGTAGAATGGACATCCAGCTCTAAAGTCCTCCATTGATTTCTCTTTTAAAGAAAGCTTAGTCATTCTTTCATCACCCCAGCTGGGAAGGCTGAGACCCCTGCCTGACGTCAAAGCTGGAGGTCATGCTTCTCCCTGCCTGCCTTGGAGTGCAGGCTGGCTCTGCCTGGCCACAGCCAACTCACTAGCTTGGGCTCCTTCAAGTCAGGTAGGCCTGTATTGAGCCTTGGCCCTATGGACCAGACAGACTCACTCCCACAGGCCTGCACTCCACTCTTTCCCATAATCCGCATTCTGTTATTTGACCTTTTGTTTCCTTGCTGCTGAGGTCTAAGTCTCATATAATTCATGCTACGGGAATAAACAGCCCATCAGTGTCCCCTGCAAGTTCCTCCTCTGTCCTGACAGTCTCTGCTCACAGAGGTGGCTGCACAATCCCCTTTGATTTTCCACCTTGCTCCTCCTTGGCCTGGGGTTAACTTTATCTGGCTCACCTGTCCATACCTTCTCTGTCTCTCACACATGTCTCCCTGCAGCCACACGCTCACACACAGCACTTTTAATTTGTGGATCTCCCTCTTCTTGGAGCTGTTCCTACAAAAGGTTATTATTTTACAAAATGAGCCTCTCACTCCACACTAAAACACTACCAGGTTAGTGAAAACTTTATCTACAGATACGGGTATGTATATCTGTGTAACCAAGAGTCTGTGTGTATTGGTGTACACATATATGCATGTCCATGTACACAGACTCACATGGATATATGTGGGTCTGCCTGCAGGTATGTGCACAGCCCCAGCTAGCTCACCTGTCAGCTCTGTGTGTTGGATCATGCAGTCTCAGCAGCCAGGCTCAGCTCCAAATGCCCATGACACAGGTTTATGATTGATTCATATTTATAACAAAAAGAGACCTTAAAAATTACCCTATAATTTTTACATTTTTATAATAAGATTACATCTTTAAAATGATATTTTACCAAATTCCCTTTCTGAATGGTTGGCAAGGTTGGTGTCCTTCCCTATCTTCAAAAAGAACAGAGGGGTTACAGAAAGCAGAGAGCTGGCAACGTAAGTATGGCCATGGGTGAGGATGAAGTAAGGGGCAGAGAGAGATGTGAGTTTGAAGAATGTTCATGGTTCAGACTACTGAGGGCTTTATAGTTTGGAGCAACAGGGTTTTTGTTCATTTATGAGTTTCCTGTGCCAAACCACAAATGGGGTAACTTAAAACAAGACAGGCCAGGCACAGTTGCTCACGCCTGTAATCCCAGCACTTTGGGAGGCCTGAGGTCAGGAGTTCGAGACCAGCCTGGCCAATATGATGAAACCCCGTCTCTACTAAAAATAGAAAAATTAGCTGGGCGTGGTGATGCACGTCTGTAATCCCAGCTGCTCAGGCGGTTGAAGCAGGAGAATCACTTGAACCCAGGAGGCGGAGGTTGCAATGAGCCGAGATCGTGCCAGTGCACTCCAGCCTGGGCGACAGAGCAAGACTCTGTCTCACAAAAAAATTTTTTAAAAAAAGAGAAATCAAGCACTAAATCAAGCACTTTAGTTCCTAAGAAAGTAAGTAGAGGGAGAAATAAGAATTTTTCCTTTCTAGACCTATTTTTTAAAAAATAGATAACAACTCATTTACAAATATAGGCCCACATGCAAAGATCGTCTCCTGTAGCTAGCATAGTAGTGCACACAGTTATGAATAAGTTCATAAGTTCATCAGTGAAAGTGCACGTGCATTGGAACACCCAAGGCATATTTCTTTCTTCTTTTTTTTTGAGACGGAGTCTCCCTCTGTCACCCAGGCTGGAGTGCAGTGGCACGATCTCTGTTCACTGCAACCTCTGCCTCCCGGGCTCAAGCAATTCCCCTGCCTCAGTCTCCCGAGTAGCTGGGATTACAGGCATGCACCGCCACACCCGGCTAATTTCTTTGTATTTTTTAGTAGAGATGGGGGTTTCTCCATATTGGCCAGGCTGGTCTCGAACTCCTGACCTTGTGATCCACCCGCCTCGGACTCCCAAAGTGCTGGGATTACAGGCGTGAGCCACTGCTCCCAGCCACCAAGGCATATTTTTATGCTTCAAGTCTGTTTTGTTAGTACACTTTTGTTACTTGTTAGCTTTGCTAGCTAGTACACTGGCTGACAAATAGGAAGAGCTCACATAAAAATTTTTAGAATGCATAATGGATAGCACTTGCCTTGGAATCAGTCAAAACTAAGGGGGGCCTCATAGAAACCAGTTTGCATTAGGGCATTTTTCTAGTGAAGAAGAGTATGGAGGATGGGGGGAAGAGGAATTTGCACCCCCTAACAACAGGTTGGGGGATGGGATGGGGAGGAACCCTGGCGCCTGTTCAGACACTGGTCCTCCAGCTCTGGGCCCTGGACTTAGATCTCAGCCCCACATGGAGAAGGGCTACAGGCAGGGAGAGAAGCCACCAAGTTTCACCAGATGTGGCTTTGGTGCCAGGAGACACAGAGTGAAGGCTCCTGCACAAAACAGAGCCTACCCTGGCACTCAGGGCCTGAGGCAGACAGTGCAGAGGAGGAGCCAGCCTGTTTGGGAGAACAGCAGCTTCACCCAGCGCACTGGCCAGTTGGCAGCCAGGACAGGGGAGGCAGCATTCCTAGGAGGCAGCATCATTCGGGAGGCAGGAGCAGAAGACGAGGACTAGATACAACCAAATTGCCATTCATATGACCCCTTTGGTACACAAAAGCCGATGAACCTGTAGAAACTCAGCTATCCTGTGCCTGTATGTGATGGAGATGCAATGCTATACGATTTTAGGTGCAAATGACCTGGCATTATCAGGCCCCAAGGTTACTGCTTGAGTCCCTTGAAGCTAGCAGTCTGGTATTGCACTCCCGTACTGTCTAGGGATCCCTGGACCTTTAGGGTATCTTGAGGGGTGGGGGTCCTGGCCTGTGGCACTGGCTGGAGGTCTTGGTGAGTCCAAGTCACCTGACTGCAGAAAAAACAGAGCTTGCAGAAGGCCGTTCCTCCATTCCTACCTTGCAAGTGGCTTTGGGATCTAGATTGCCTATTTCAGGGCCTATTTATAAGCAAATTTCTTAGATGGAATTTTTTATGCCTCAAAATTTCAAAGGATTTTTAGTCAATTAATATCTTCCACCACCCTACTAGATGGTTTCTGGTTGCAGTGGGAGAGAGACAGAATGACACAGCCTACAGTGGATTTCTTCAAAGATGCTCAGGAATTAGAGAATCTGTTTCCCCACCTCCGTTTCCTTTCTGGTCCTGTTTTCAGAGCTCCTTCCCACGCTATCAGACACATGCTGGCTTATCATTGCCTTTGACAACTAGCTCAGTACCCGGTAGATGACTGAAAAGAAGTGAAATCTGCTGTCGCTTTCGATATGTGTGATTGGGCTTCTGTCCCCAGGACCCCACTGAGACACTGAGAACCACCCAACCCTACTGACACTTTTCCACTGAGATCTCACTCCCATCCCCACCTCCACTGCTCTCTTAGTTCAGGTCTCAGTCACCTCTTAACCTGTATGTCTTCTGTAATCTCCAAAGTGATGATGTTCTTGACTCCAGTATGGGTCTCTCCAATCCATTCTGTCTTTTACTCCCAGGAAGGTATAACTAATTGCCAACCCTGACTGTAGCAAGCTGAATTACAGCCCCCAAATATATGCAGGTCCTAATCCCTGAAGCCTATAAATGTGAGCTTATATGGAAAAAGGGGTTTTGCAAATGAGTTAAGAATCTTGAGATGTGGAGATAAGCTTGAACCATGGCCCTAAATGCCATCACAAGTATCTTTATAAGAGGGAGGAAGGGGGAGATCACAGTGAAAGAAGGAGGCGATGTCACCACAGAGGGATAGTTTGAAGTGTTGTGGCCACAAGCCAACAACCACCAGAAGATGGAAAAGGCTACAAACAGATTCTTCCCTAGAGCCCCTAGAGGCTGTGCAGCCCTGCTCACACCTGGATTTAAGACTTTTGACTTTCAGAATTGTGAGAAAATAAATTTCTCTTGTTTTGAGTCACTCCATTTGTGGTTTGGCACAGGAAACTCACAAATGAGCAAAAATCCTGTTGCTCCAAACTACAAAGCCCTCAGTAGTCTGAACCATGAACATTCTTCAAACTCATGTCTCTCTCTGCCCCTTACTTCATCCTTCATCCTTGGCCATACTTACTCTACCAGCTCTGTGGGAGCTCCTAGTCCTTCCTCTCTCTGAAACTCTCCGATGGTTCACCTTGTGGACACCTGCACATAGCTCCTGTCTGGTCTTGAAAGTCATCACCTTTCTGAAGCCATGGAAGTCTGTTCCCACCTGTTCAATATGTTTGATTTTTAGTTCTCTGTGTAACCTACAATTTATTCCACTTGTCTATTTATGTTTTTATCTTCTACTAGACTGGAGGATCCTTACAGGCAGGGACTGAACCTGATTTACTTCTGATAACCCTATTCCTGGTATAGCAATTGTCATATAGTGGAAGGCTAGTAAATGTTTTAATGTTTAATGTTTAAATAAAATCACTTCTGTGCAACAATTTTATACAGATGTTCATTCCTCCTCCTTCTTCTTCAAAAATCCTCCTCTGACTCTAGCACACATTCCCCGTTTTGTCCACTGTGATTTTTGTGATTGTCTTTCCTCATTCTTCTTCCCTGGAATTTCATGTCATATCCACCTCAAATGGCATTGCCTATAGGTCAATTTTCAGTTTTCCTTCTCTTTTAGCTCTCCCATGTATGGTCTTTTTGAGTAATTTTGGTCATTCTTCTATGTCTTCGGCTTCTAAACATGGTTCCTTCCTCTCCTCTGAACTCTTTCCTACCTGCCCACTGGAAATCTCTGCACGGATGTCCCACAGACACTTTTAGCCTAACATGTCAAAAACAGTTTTCTCCTCTTCTTCCCTCCCTATTAATCTGGACAAGAAGGGCCCCTGGGCTAGAGTTCTGGAAGCCAAGGTAGGAAACAAGAAGAGTAGGATGAAGCAGAGCAGAAGCCGAAGGCCTTGGAGTCAAGAGCACCCAGTGCCAATGTCATGGGATTGTTCAGATTAAACTTTTCTTTGAAAGGCCTCGGCATAGATGCAGAAACCAGACAGGAGACCACAACCAAGACACCAAACCAGGCCACCAGGGAGGGCTGTGCAGGAAGGAAACAGTGCACAAAAATGTTCTGCAGAGACAAAGCCTCCAGGGTCTTCTTATGGGGCACTCTAAGATGTCAGTTGGGGTAACATCCACTGCTACAATTCCTTTTTCCTTTTACTCAGCTGTTCACATTAGAAACCTCAAAGTTATTCTTTCTCTTACCTCTCCTTTAACCCACCCTGCTTAGCAGATTCTAGGTTAAAGGGAGCTCCTATTTTCTGTCCTTGGCCTCTGCTGCCCCATTTCCATTGTCTCTTCCTGTCTCCTGCCTGGGGCACTCAAAGACCTCCAAAGGCCACCCCCTCACCCCCCTTTACAGCCTCTTCCCACATCAGTCACTTCCAACACAGCTGCCAAAATTCAAGTGCATTGAAATTGTTGGTGGTGTCCTGTTGCTTCTAGGATGAAATCTGAACTCCTGAGCAGGGCACTCAAAGTCCTTGACACACACCAACCCTCTCCTCTCTTCAACCTAGTCTGTTGCTGATTCCTGCTCTTACATTGAACCCCTGCCCAGCAACTTGCAAGCACTTTTATACCGTAGCGTATATCCACCTCCTTACCTTTCCCACCCGCACATTATTGCTCATCTCTCAGAACTCCACTCCCATGCCACTCCTTCCTTGTATCCCCGCTGAGGGCCTTCTGGTTCATCTCCATTTCTGAGTTCCTGTGTTTGCAGTCACCCCCAATCACTTATCACACTCTGCAGGGGTAGTGATTTCCACATCCATATGCCCCACTAAACAATGGGCTTCTTGACAACAGTGATAGTTTCTTATAAACTTTCAAACTCCTAGTAGTTGGTGTGGAACCTGGCACATTGCAAACACTTCAAAATACTTATTGTGAACACTTCAATAAATATTTGTCAAATGAATGAATATGATATAAGCAAAGATGACAACTAAGAACAGAAAGAAAGAGAGCATGTTATTTGTTAGACAGGCCTCAACGGCTCAATGCTTCCCCAAGAGCTCCAATTCACGAACTTTTCACTCTCAGGTAGAAAGGTTTTCATAGCTTTTACTGGCAGCTAAACAAGCGAGCAGGGAGCAAATTATTCCTGCAATTTGTCCAGGGCTGAACATCAGGGATAATGCCAAATAGACCAACAGAAGGTCAATGAAGAAAGCGAGTGTGGGTCTCAGATCATCAGAGCTGGAAGATTTTCAGCTCTCACCACCCTTAACTTACAGCTGAGCAGACAAAGTCCAGTGAGGCCCTGTGCCTTATCCTAGCAAGTGACAAGGCTGGGGGACAGAGGTGAGGACACAGCCACCAGAGAGGGGAATGGATGGAGATGGAGCCAAAAGGAAAACAAAGTGGATTTAAGTGAACCTGAATTGCTTGAGTATCTTTCCTCTCTTTGGTAGTTACAGATTCCTCATGCACACAAATATTAAATTGCGTGTTTGTGCTACTTTATAAAGAGCTTTTTTCAGCCAGGCATGGTAGCTCATGCCTGTAATCCCAGCACTTTGGGAGGCCGAGGCAGGCAGATCATGAGGTCAGGAGTTCAAGGCCAGCCTCGCCAACACAGTGAAACGCTGTCTCTACTAAAAATACAAAAAAATTAGCCAGGCGTGGTGGCAGGTGCCTGTAATCCCAGCTACTTGGGAGGCTGAGGCAGGAGAATTGCTTGAACCTGGGAGGCAGAGGTTGCAGTGAGCAGAGATCGTGCCATTGCACTCCAGCCTGGGCAACAGGTGCAAGACTCCGTCTAAATAAATAAATAAATAAATAAATAAATAAATAAAAGAGCTTTTTTCATACATCTATTCAGTAAACAAGTGTTTCTCTGTTTTCTGACCAGATTAGGAGCTCCAGAGGAAGGGGGCTTCTCTTTTCTTTGGGTTCCCATCTCGCTACTCTACAGACCCCTACTACACACACACACACACACACACACACACACACACACACTCACACTCACACACGGTCCTAACATTGGGTCTGCTTTGGCATCTAAGAACAGGATGTAGACTTACAGATGACTGTCATTGCCACTTTAGGTAACCCATCTAATCCTGTCTGGTCAAAGGACTTTTCTTCTGTTCCTCTTCTAATTTTAGTTCTACTGATCTGATTAGCCTAATCAATTTTCCGTGGCCTGGGCCTCATTTCCTAGCTTCATTTTGAGCATAATTTCTCCTGCCCCCACCCAAGTCTTCTCTTGAGTCTCTAATGTTGCCTTAGAACAATGATGCTTTTCCACCACTGCCTAGGCCTAGATAACCATTCCTACATTCACACATTTTCATATCCCCACTACTGCAGAAACTTCCCCCAAAACAGATAAGGTCTGCGGCCAACAGGCTGCACGGCCCGGTGCCTGGGCTGGTCATTTGTCTTTTGCTCTCTGGTCCACCCCTCATCTTCCTCCTGCCAGCTCTGCCTCGCAGGGAGTTGAGCAGGCCAGAGTTGTGTGTGTTTTTATGCCCACAGAGGTCTTGGCATAACTTGGGCACTAAGCCTTCTTGGAAGATGTCAAGAGCCATAATCAGCTATCTCATGGCTCACTGATGGGATAAAAGGCACGGCAGAGGCCAGTGCACACCCTCAGAAACCACCCCAGCTTTCTCCAGCCATGCAGCCCCCGACCTCTGGACCACCTGGACACAGATGTCCTTTCTCTCCCGAACTCTAAAGCATAGAGACACAGACAGCGACAACCTCCCCAAAGTGTGACCACAGCAGCAAACCACACCCTGCCAATGCAACACTATGCGAATGTGTCCAGAATCTCCATCATGCAGGTTAAGTTTCCGGAGGGAGAATGACACCGCATGGCCAGCACTAAGGACTTTGTGTGGACCCCCAGCTGGAGCTGCTCAGCTCCTCTCAGCAGGCCTCTTCAGCTTCCCTTTGGAGGGAAAAAAGTCAAAGACCTCTCCCTGGATTGTGCAGATTTTCTTTGTCAGCAACCAAGGCTCACAGGTACTCACTCTGTGAGATGTATACCTGCCTAGTGGGGCTGAAGAAGAATCCCAGGGGCCAAATGGAGTGTGCCCCTCCTTTACCATCCCAGTCTACCTTCGCCCCAGCAGGAGGGGAACCTCACCTTACTGTGTTTTGGAAGAATTGAAGAACTGAGGAGGGAAACACTGCCTCAGAGGCTGAAAGTGGTGATTTCATCTTATAATTGCATAAAGTCAAATAGCTTATGGAGGGCTTTTGCACATGTCATTTAACATGATCTTCCCACTAACCTGTGAATAAGCTGGGCCGGTCCTGTTATCCCCACCTGATATGTAATATGCCAAAGCTCAGAAGTAGGTGACTTGCCAAGGACATCGTCCACTTCAGCAACAGCTTGATAAAGGTACAGTGAAGGTCTACTAAGTACAGGTGACCCTTGAACAACACGGGTTTGAACTGTGTGGGTTCACTTATATGAGGATTTTTTCCAATAAGTAATTGGAAAATTATTTGGAGATTTTTGACAATTTGGAAGAACTTGCAGACAAAACGTGTAGCCTAGAAACACTGCAAAAATATGACTGGCCATGGTGGCTCAGGCCTGTAATCCCAGCACTTTGGGAGGTTGAGGCGGGCAAATCACTTGAGGTCAGGAGTTCGAGGGCAGCACAGCCAACATGGTGAAACCCTGTCTCTACTAGAAATACAAAAACTAGCTGGGCGTGGTGGCACCCGCCTGTAATCCCAGCTACTCGAGAGGCTGGGGCACAAGAATTGTTTGAACTCAGGAGGTGGAGGTTGCTGTGAGCTGAGATCGCAGCACTGCACTCCAGCCTGGATGACAGAACGAGATGCCATCTCAAAAAAGAAAGAAAGAAACATTGCAAAAGTAGACAAGAGAAAAAAATTTAAAAATAAAAAATAATTTAAGAATTTTTTTAAAACACTAAAAAGAGAAGCATTGCAAAAAATAAGAAAAAGTTAGGCATGTCATGAATGCATAAATATATGAATTGGTCAACTGTTTATGTTATTGGTAGGGCTTTGGTCAGCAGTAGGCTATTAGTCATGAAAATTCTGGGGAATCAAAAATTGTACTGGGACTGTGCTGAGGGTCGGCCGCCATAACCTGCATGTTGTTCAAGGGTCAACTATACTCAAAGTACTGAGAATGCAAGGATAAATAGGACAAGATCCCCTGTCCGGCTGGTATCTGTAGTCCAGTCGGAAAAAGACACACTCGTAAATAGATCATTTGGCCACTGAGCAACAGGAGCTGTGAGACAGGCTGTGCTGGGCAGTGGGGCTGAAGAGTGGATGAAGGATGGGGGAGCAGTGGAGAATCTGCCCTGGACAAGGAGACTCCAGGACACAACCTAAAAGACCAGGGAGATGACTTGACAATGAGGGCCTGAGAACACATGGCGCCCAAGACACAAAGTCCAGAGCAAAAGGATGAGAGCGGGCCCCATTAGAGCGCTGTGGAAATGGCGGTAACTGCCTGCAGCACAGCGGAGCACAGAGGACAGAGGGCAGCTGAGCAGGGAAGTCGGCACCAGGCAGGGCTGTCACAGTAAAAAGTTTGCTCGGGAACAATATTAGGGCTTCAGCAAGGGTGTGACTTGGCAGATTTTATTTAAGATACAGCCATCATCACTCAGATAACTATTGGGAAAATGGAGTTGAACAGAGTAAAACAAGAGATAGATCAGTCAAGAGGCTAAATACCCTAGACAGGAGAGAGATGGCAGGAGCAGGAGGGTGGGAGAAAGGGATGGAATTGGACTGGAAAATATTTAGGAGGTGAAGAGTGAATGTGAGAATTAAAAAAAAAAGGAATGGTTCTAGATGACCTGAGTTTATGGTCTGGGGACATCTTTGACAGAGGCAGGTAATATCGAAGGAGGAGCGGATCTTGGGAAAATGGTGACTTGGGTTTTGAACATGTTGCATTTGACAGGTCTATGAGACATTTAAGAGGCACAGCTAGAAATGTGAGTATGAAACTCAGAGAAGATAGATCCGAGATGGAAATTTAAACTGAGAATGGGCACCACCGCCCCATGAGACAGTACAGTGAGGAGAGCTCATGCCACACTCAAGGCCAGGGAGAAATGGCCAGAAATGTAGAAGCAGAGATGGAAGCCATGTCAGAAGCCAGGGTAGAGGAGTGAATGACAAGGCCAAATGTGGAAGAGAGGACTGAGAGGCGTCCCCTGGACTGGCCAAAGGGAGCTCACTGGTGACGTTGGACAAGCAAGGTTGAGTGTCGTGACTGAGTGCACTGTGGGTAGATGGGTCTTGAGCTGGAGGTGATGAAGAGGGGAGAGCAAGGACAGATTCATTGTTCTCAATGCTGGTAGAGAAGGTAAGACCACAAATAAAACAGTAGCAACAGCGGACATTTCTGTGCTGTTGTACTTAGGATTGGAGAAATTTGAGCCTCTGTTGATGCTCCGAAAGAATGCTTCAAAGCTAGCACCAGGAATAGTTGGTAGGATTAGGGCTACAAGTGAGAACTTTGGTGCCTAAATCCAATTTCTTATTCATATCCCAGAATGAAAAAGAATACTAAGAGGAGAATGGGACTGAAGCAGGCAGATCATCTCTAAGAGGAAATAGGATGTACATTACAGTAAAACACATCCTACGTAAAAAGGAGACTGCATAATTCTCTGAAAAAGTTGGCAGTTGTCTAGATCTGGGTTCCCAAGGAGTGGGGCATGTCTACCCCAGATGGCAGCTGAGTGCCATGCCAGTTTCTCATGGCATGATCAAGAACTCGCTGACCCTACCCCATGCTTGCTAGAGTGCAACCTCCTGCCTGCTCCATCTGCAAGGGTGTTGATCTGACCAACATCCTTGGTCAGATTTTCCAATTACCATTTCAAAGGTAACTGTGAAAATCATTTCTTTCCTTAATACTGAATACCTTTTTTTCTCACTACCATTCCCCTCTCCCCCCTGGCCTTCGGGGCAAGTGTCTTTGTGGGGTGCCCTGAAAGAACAGAGCAGTTGAGCATGGTGTCTAAGAGCCTGGGACCTGCAGCTAGAAGGCTCCACTGTCTATTGTTGTGGGACCCCAAGCAAATCATTTTATTGCTCAGTGCCTGTTTCCTCAGGGAGTATAAATACTACCGGCAAGGCACTTAGAACACCGTCCAGGACTGGGGCTCATAGGAAGTCCTCTGTCTCTGTTAGGCTATCATTCTGCCTCTGACCTGGGGATCTGCAAATTTGATTCAGTCCCTGCCTGCCTTTCCAACTGACACCATGAACCCTGGTTAAAGTAGAAATCAGATACCAGTTTTCAACTCCAGTTTGATTTCCCAGTACAGACAGTTCCCCACTGAGATGCCAGTGGGTGAAATATAACCAGCTTCCTCCATAATTAGTTTCAGTTATTACACCATCTTTCTGGGTAATGAAATTATTCCTTGTCCTTATGGTTTTTACTGACAGCAATAAAAAATTATTTTCAGTCTTATTGCTAGAATTCTTTGGGTTCAGTCATAGGAATACAATTCCCTAGAATAATCAAATTAATTCATTATCTTAGTATTTTACATATTTTTTACTCTAGGGGATATGAGATTGTTGCTATTTGACTATTTCTGACTGACAAAATGAGTATTTCATATGATTCAACCTAATATTTTCAACCACTGATGGAATTTCTATTTATGCAGGTGGGGTGGGGAAAATGAATTGTTTGCTGTCTAAGATAACAATAGAATTCCTTTTAGAGAGGGAACTATTTTTTCTTTGGGGAAATACGTCAATGGACATTTTGTTTTTGCAGAAGATTAGAGATGAGAGAAGACTAAAAGGAGCAAAATCGCTCTGCTCGATCTGAAGATCTCAGGAGTTCTTGTTTTGCTTTTGTGATGGGGAGAGTGAGATAGGGAGGCCTTGTTAAGCTTCACCTAAATCTACCTCCCAACATATTTTAGGTTTGGCCTAAAGGTTTCTCTGTACATATGAACTGCAACCAAACTGGATATGTAAATGAACTGTAGCCTACTCTTATGCCAATCCCTGAGTTTTGGTCAATCAAAGGCAACCAACTGTTCAAACCAGGATCAAATAAGGCGAACACCAGGCTGTAACCAATCCGGCTGTTCCTATACCTCACTTCTGTTTTCTGTACATCACTTTCCGTTTTCTGTCTATGAATAATCTTTGATCACAGGGCAGTGCCAGGGCCTCTGTGAACTCCTCCTGGTTCAGCAGCTGCCCAACTTGTGAATCGTTCTTTGCTCAGTTAAACTCTGTTAAATTTGTCTAAGGTTATTATTATATCAGCCTAGGCTGCGAGAAAGTGTAGGCCCTGGTGCTAAGGAGGAGGCTGAACAGTGATGCGTGGTGTGGCTACATCATGGCAGAGACGCTTGACGGGGAAGCCTCAGAGCAGCCACATCCCCCACACACTCAGCTCCAAGTTGTGCTCTCCATCTCCACACCCACCCAGCTTTCCTTACTGGCTTAGTAGCATTTCAGGGACGTCAGTACCAGAGTACTGTCTACACTGCAGCTGAGAGAAAGGGCCCTCTTATGGGATGGGACAGGACAGGACAGAAGGGGCACGAGAAGCAGAGGTTCACACTCAAATGCAAGCCTTCCTTGGGGCTGCTCAGAAATAATGCACGACCTGGCAGGCGTTGGCCATCCTGAAACTTCACACATGCAGTTCTAGGAGTTTGGGAGATTGGGCAACATCTGGAATTGTTCACTCTGAGAACGCAAATCATCTGCACCCTTGAAGCTTACTGTCTACATTAACGTGACTTTGCTCTTACATGAAACACTTGTCCAGGAAAATAAAAGCTGCAAATAACTTTGTTTGTTTCAGGAACTTTCTGGAAGAATTCATTCAAATGATCATTAAACGATGAGACTTTTCAATAGATAGCATCAGTGACTATTTATACCTCAAGGTTCTTTGAATCCCTTGCCTCAAAACCCTCACATTACCGCATCCACCAATCCTCATACTATAAACCCCTCCCCTGCTGCACTGAACAGCCTCTAAAACCCAACCCCAAAGCCTCATAAGTACCCCGACTTGGATGCCCCATCTGAGATGCTGCTATTCAGACTATCAGGGCAGGGCTCTCCCAGACCACAGTAAGCAATGAATAACTTCAGCTTATTGACAGGTTGTAGGAGGGTATTTTTAGGGAGCTGGATTTTGCTTGGAATAGGTAGGCCAGGTGCTGGGGATACGAAGGCGAACAAAACTGAACCCCTGACTTCACAAAGCTGATGTTGTGATGCAGCAGACACATTAAACAACTCATCACAAGTAGTTCAATAATTATTTAAGCACGACTATGGTACATGCTACAAAAAAAACTACAGAGCCCCAGGGGAGTGCAGCCTTGACTGGTGTGGTGGGAAGCAGGGGCTTGGGAAGGAGCAACAGGGGTGCCTGCAAGGGAGGCAGAGGAGGTTACAACACAGACCTGTACAGACTACATCGCTCATTTCCATGGTGCAGCAGGGGAGGGCCTTAGGCTTATTAAAAGGGAGCCTGAGTTTGTAAAGTGGGAGAAACACTGCCCTAGCCCACAGGGAAGGGAATGCAAAATATGAGCTGTGCACCAGAGTGCCTCAGATGGGAGGTTGGTGCATGACCAAGGAAGGCCTGGGGAACAGGGTTGATGCCGACGCCGCAGGACTCAGCAGAAGTGAGCCACTGAGTGCTTACCTGGTTGGGGGATACATGGCTGAAGGGGGATTCTGGAGCTAAGTGAAAATTCATATGGGCCTAGGCTTGGGAGGAGGAATCTTGGAGGGAATGTAGAACAATTGCCATATGGTGCCCTGGGAGGAGATGGAAGGTGAGGGCAAGGGAGGGTGTGGTTTTAAGTGGCCTTAAGTCATTCCTGAATTCCAGAGTCTAGAAGATCATAAAGGTAGAGGCTGGTGCCCCGGGGTATGAGAGATTACAACCAGTTTCGTCACAGAATGCAAGAATTGGCCTCGAAAATTCAGGGACAGCTGGTCAATAGAACTGGGCCACTAGGTCTAGATTGACTTGGATACAGCAAGGGAGAAAACCCTACCTTAAATGTGGGGTTCATTCATGGAATAGTAGGGATGAGGCAGGAAAAGCATGCCAGAACTGGAGGGAGGAGAGATAGCCACAACTTTCTGTGGACCATTGGGTTGGGGCAGGTGAGGAGCATGTTAAAAGCCATGTGTTAGCAAGGGTTATCTGGCACAGGAGGCAGCTCTGCTCTTCCCCAGGCTAAAACAAATCACATCTTCAGCAGGATGGGTTGCAAGAGGACTGTGACAGGCAGGGAGACACTCCATGAAAGGCTGAATCCCTGGGGTCTCCCGATGGTACAGAAGGTGTGAAGTAGAGGAGGGGTTACTGAGGCCACATGTGGAGCCTGGGTTCCTAGGAAAGTGAAGATATTGATGACACAGCAGGAAGCCTGGGGGAAGCGGGCTTGGGGAGGTTACAACATCCTCAGCTTGGAATGTGCTGAGTGTGAGGTGGTGGAGGATGTAAAGTCCAAGCAGAGATGGACCATAATGAGGCCCAGAGATGTATCTGCTTCTCCAGTGGACCAGATGCTGACGGAGCCCCAGGACTGGCTGGCTTGCTCCTTGGTTCCCGCAATACCCAGCACCCGGTCTGTGTGCAGTGGCCTCGGTCAGTGTCTAATGTGGCTGCATCGAGCGTCCAAAAGTGGCTGCAGAGGTAATCATGGCGATCTAGTACCACCCACCACATTAGATGCTTGTGTGCATCTCCCCGTCGTTGGGAAGTAATAAGCACTTACTATCAAGCCCACTTATGGACAGGGAGCTAAGCAGTTTATCAGCTAGAAAGTAGCAGAATTGGACTTTGAACCCACTCCCTCTGATGCCAGAGGCTGCTCCTGGCTGTTGGCTTCCTGTGCTCTGTGGACACGGAGCAGAGAGACTGCAGGTTGTAAACCACTAAAAGAGTTGCACGAGAAAGGGAGGCAAGACCTCACCCACTCAATAGAGGCGGAAAACAAGACGCAGGAGGCCCTCACACACATCCCCTCCCCATTATGGGGTAAAAGGAGTGGGAAAAAGTATAATCCTTTCCCTTCTTCCTTCCCACCCTTTATCTGCAGGACAGAACTGAGCTACCACATCTCTTAGGAAATAGATCCTTAAGGGGCCCAGAACCTTGGAAGCAGTCACTGTGTTCTGAAGCTGGATGACTCACCTGGACTCTAACAACAGTCAAAAGTCCAGGGTGCTGAATGCCAACTCAGTGTTGAGCTCTGAAAGGAATCACAACACAGCATCATCCCTATGGAGGTGACCTTCCAACACCTCTCCTCTCCCCACACACCACACCCACACACACCCACACACACACCACACATACACATCACACACACACACACACACCACACAGTACACTCTACACACCACACACACATGCACCCACATGCACACAACACATACACATCACAAACACACACCCCACACAGCATACTCTACACACCACACACACATGCCGCACACACATCACAAACAACACACACACACCAGGCATCACACACACCTACACCACACCACACACATGCCCCACATGCTACATTGGCACATCATGCAAACATACACCACACTCCGTAAACATACTCCCACACACAGACACACACCACAAACACCACACACATGGACCACACACACTACACTACACACACAGACCACACACACACAAAGACCATACATACAGACCACACACACACCCGGACCATACACACAGACCACACACACACACTACACACAGACCACACACACACAGACCATGTACACACACAGACCATACACACAGACGACACACACACACACTGCACACACAGACCACATACACACAGACACACACTACACACACAGACCACATACACAGACTACACACACGCAGACCATACACACAGACCACACAGACCACATACACACAGACTACACACATGCAGACCATACACACAGACCACATACACACACACTATACACGGACCACACAGACCACATACACACAGACTACACACACTCAGACCATACACACAGACTACACACACACACACACACACTACACACACAGACCACACAGATCACACACAAACCACATACACACCGACTACACACACACAGACCATGCACACAGACCAGACACACAACCATACGCACAGACCATACAGACCACACAGACCACACATACACACACATGCACACAGACACACATCACACAGATCACACACACACACATAGAGACCACACACAGACACACAGACCATACAGACCACACATAAACACAGACACACACACACACACACACCACACACACAGACCATACACACAGACCACACACACACACACACAGACCACACAAACACACAAACCATACACACACACAGTCCACACACACATCGTACCACACACGTGCGCACACACACACACACAACCCTATGTAAAAGAATTCTGGGAGTAATTACAAAGCCTCCTTGTCCCTGGATGCTGTCTTCTATCTGAAACTTAAGCTCTGGCTCAGGATTTCTAATTAGACCAATGTTTTCCTCTACCGGGAGACACTGAGTCATTAGATAATTTTCTGATGATCTGCACGTACCTCTGAAACAGATGTCCCCTGCCACCATCAGCAGCACATAAACATTTAGATGTAGCTGAATTCCCCACAAGTAAGGAGATTAAGCAGGGTTAGGGTTTGGGATGTGTGAGCCATATCCTATCAGAACTAAAGATAAAGATAAAATGTATCTAAATCTCCCTTCCCCCTCTTCTGTGCTGCTTAAATCACTGCACAGAAGCACACTTAGAACTAAGCAGTGACTATCACCAGTGTTCTCGCTCTATTTCACCCGTCAAGTTAAGCACCTTCTTATCGCAGCTGAAGTGGTGGTACGAAGAGGCTGGATCTTACACAGCCTGCCCCTGGCGGGATACATCCCCAGGGAGTTGACATATTTAACGAGTAAAGCAGCTCATTTCATCAGATTAGTTTACACAGAAGAGAAAGGAGACTTCAGAAGCAGTAGGTAAAGAGACTTTTTGTTCTTTGTAATTTGACTCTGTAATTTGGTTATTATTTTTGTTTAATTCTACAAGCAGCCTGTGAGAGGAACTGACTCTGCATGGGGCCATCTTGTCAATGTTAACAACTCCCTTATTTATTTGCCTGGGAGAATCCTCCCATTTTGAAATATAGCATGAGATTCAGGGCTTATGTCTGCCGAGCTGCTGCCCAAGACCTTCCTCAGTTAAGGAGGCACTTGTCATGAGACCCCCCCCCGCCAGGGCAGGGTCCTGTACCATGAGATAGGGACACCAAGGCCCAGAATCAGGTCATCTACTATCCCCTTCTTCCCACCTTCCCTCCTCTTTCCAGGACATTCTGAGCTATGGACACCAGACATTCACAGTCCTGTCTCCTGTGTCGTTTTTTAACTATCTTACTCTGTCTTGATTCCTTTATGTGCATTTGACATGCCCATGCAACCATGTAAAAAGACTTGCTTCTGGTCAGTCTCAGTGGCTCATCCCTGTAAACCCAACACTTTGGGAGGCCGAGGCTCAAAGATCACTTGAGGCCAGGAGTTTGAGACCAGCCTGGGTAACATAGCAAGACCTCATTTCTATTTTTTAAAATGTAAATTAGTCAGGCATGGTGACACACACCTGTAGTCTTAGCTACTCAGGAGGATAGCTTGAGACCAGGAGTTTGAGACCCGTGAGGTATGATCATGCCATTGCACTTCAGTCTGAGTGACAGAGCAAGATCCTGTCTCTATTTTTTAAAGACTTGCTTCATTTCTGTTCATTTTCTATTCTTCATTATTCAATTTGTTTGGTTTTGTGTGCTTTTGGTTCCTACTTTTGTCTTACTCCTTAGGTGGGCCACCCAACATGGACCTTAGTCCCCTGGGGGCTCAGCACTTCCCTGGACACCAATCACGCCCTAATTGGACTCCACCCTGATTCTCTACCCATGGGGCTGGAGGGGGAGATCTTTTGAAACACCATAGGATGGACGAAGCCCTAGGTTTTTCTCCAGTGCTTGTGAAAATGCAGATTCTGGGGCCACACTCCAGACTTCCAGAATTAGGATCCCTTAGGAGTAGAGCCAAGGAATCTGCATTTTACAACCTCTCCAAGTGTGTCTTACACCTACTGAAGTTTGAGAACCACAAAATCTAGATTTTAGAGGGACCAACTTCTCCAATTTATGTCAGATAGGATTTGTGCTAAATGCTTCAGAAGCCCAGCGAAGCCTTGATTGAGATAAGACTGTCCCCTCAATGTCACTGCAGAGGCTTTCTCTAGTTATTTCTGTTCAAAAATGGCTCATATTTTTTGAGCAGTTAACATACCAGGTTAAACCCCAAATTAATCTTTCCAACAACCCCATGACATAAGTACAAGAAACTAAAGCTGAGAGAGGTTGAATGGCTTGCCCAAGGTCACACAGTTCATCACGGAGTTAAAATCACAACTAGATTCTGCCACATACAAATATAGGAAAGCTGGATCAGGTGGGTAGCCTGGCTTGGGTCAGCCTCCAGTGTCTGCAAATACACAGAATTCTGATTCCTAACTTCATACAGACAGCCCCTTAGCATAGAGCTTAAAGCAGGGGAACAACAGAGAGGGAAAGGATGGCCTCAGAAAGATGCTCATGTGGATAGTGTGAGTTCTAAGATCAGCAAAAGGGACTCAAGTCAATCTATGTGGGGATTCCAGCTGGGTTGGGCGCTAACTCTATCTCAAAGCTCTCAAACTGGGCTACCAGGCAGGGAGAAGTCAATGTCCAGTGATGTCTAGTAAATTTGATTAGGGTGGAGACCAAAATCAGGAAATTCAATTCAAATAACTGCCCCTGCCATTAAAATATTGCATGTTTTTAGCTGAATTATTCAGAATTTTCCAGATAATCACCCTACATTATTAATGACCTCAGTATATGTCACTTTTGGCTCTCAATACATATCTAAGCAACTCTTTCTCAGTAACCCTGTGATTCTGAGAGAAGAAAAAAGTGGACTCAAGGAAGTCCATGGGGAAACCTGGAAGGAAAGCATGAGCCAGCTCTGTTTGGCCTTACCCTTGGCTGTCCCAGGGAGAGTCATGCATCTGCTGTGTAATGCCACCAGCAGCCATGCATTATGCAAGTCTGACCTACATTATGGTATTGAGACATAACTGCTATAATAGCAGGCAAAGTTTAATGTTCCTTGAAATTTTTTAAGTTATATTTTTGTCAGAGAAATACATATATAAAGGTTTTTTGAAATTTTTTTCTCTTAAAAAAATGAGATGGGGCCAGAAGGCAGGGGTGGGCAGTGGTCATGCTATGTTGCCCAGATTGGTCTCGAACTCCTGGGATCAAGGAATCCTCTTGCCTCAGCCTCCTGAGTAGCTGAGACTAAAGGAACACTCCACCAAGCCCGGCTTTACATAAAGGTTTTTACATTCAAATATACCACAAGTCCTGGAAATTAAAAAAGAAGTTTCCTGACACCGTTTCCTCTACCCTGAATTCCAACCCCCAGAGGTGACTCTTTTGTGTTGTTTTGTTTTGGAGACAGAGTCTCAGTCTGTTGCCCAGGTTGGAGTGCAGTGGTGTGAAAACAGCTCATTCCTGGGTTCAAGCAATCCTCTTGCTTCAGCCTCTATGACTATTGGCACGTGCCACCATTCTCAGCTAATTTTTTTTTTTAGAGACCAGGGCAGGGGGAGGGGGGAGGGAGTGTCTCACCATGTTGCCCAGGCTGTCTTGAACTCCTGGCCTCAAGTGATCCTCCCATCTCAGCCTCCTGAAGTGCTGAGATTATAGTTGTGAGCCACCACATCTGGCCTCTTTTAGCTTTTCTTTGGAATTTTTAGGAATTTTCTTAGGAATTTTCCTTTGTATTTTTAAATGATACACTTATATGGTTGTGGGTTTTTTCTTCATTTTATAATTTTAAGCATCATCTACTGACTTCCTATTACATAAGATTGGAATCCAGCTCTTACATCAACATATCCCCCTTCCCACCCACTGCCTGTACTTCCTCACTCCCATCCTCTTAAAGTAGTTATGTCACAAGTTTTGGCTCAATCAATATGTAATGTTTACTTTATTTACAACCATGTGAATATGGCTCAAGGCTGAGCCACATAATATACTATAAATACATTTTGTTACTAGCACAACATTGTTTTTCCAGAGATAGTATGTTCTTTTCGTTTGTGCAGTTTTCTATGTACCTGTCACTTATTCCTAATCAAATTCTTCAAACAAAGCTACAAAATTCCTCTGAATAAAATATAGACAAAGGTATCAGATAATACACCTTTTTTTTTTTTCTTGGAAACATCCCTCCTGAAGCCTCCTATCTTCTTGACCCACCTGCACAGGCTGTTCCCCAGGCCTGGCCCACACACCTGGGGCTCCACCCAGCACAACCTGGGAACTCCCTGTGACTCTCTCCTGTGTGGGATCTGAATCCCAAATCATTTTTCTCAATTTATTTCTTCTTTTGATTAAGTTTATTAAGAAGTGTGCATGGAAAATACATGTTTTTTAGACCTTGCCTGTCTGAAATTGTCTTTGTCGTGCCATCTGACTATACCCAGTTAACTGCATATAGAATCCTAGGATAGATGTCATTTTCCCTCAGAAATTTGAAGGCCTGCTGCTCAGTTTCCGAGCTTCCAACAGGACTGTTGAAAAGTCCAATAGCATTTGAATTTTCATTCTCTGTATATGAGCTACGTTTTCCTCTGTGGAGCATTTTTAAATCTTTTTATCTCAGCCTCTGAGAACACATGCTGACATACCTTGCTGCTGGTGTTTTGCACTCATCGTGTGCTGGCATGTGGTAGATACACCCTGAGGCCTTGTGTCTTTCATTTCTGAAATTTTTACTTAAATGACATCTTTGACAAACTCTTCCCTCCATTTCCCTCGTTCTCACTTGGAATTCCTTTTAGTAGGATGTTGGGCCTTGTGGATAGACCATTTAATTTTGTCTTTTTCTCCTATTTTTAAAATGCCTTTGTATTTTTGTTCCAGTTCCTAGAAGATTTTCTCATCTTTATCCTACAGTATTTCTTTTTAATTTTTTTCCACATTAAATTTTGTTTTAATGGGCTGAAAATTCTGAGGCCAATTTTTGGTCACGTTGTTTCCATTTTAAAACATCTATTTTGAAATCTAAAAATTTAATATTACTGTGAAACAACTAGTCCACAAAACATTCTTTTCCTTTTGAAGCTTTTATGGTCCATTGTACCAGTAGCCGATGTTTTACCCTTGAACACAAATGACTCAAATTGTCCATCAGGACAAATGGTGCCGAGTCAATTCTGGGTCAGATTGAGACTAGGGCACAGATGTGGGATGGAATATTCTTTTAACCTCAGATTTCTGGATGGACATTTTGTCTTGCTGCCTCCATCAGCCTTCTTGTTAACTGTCTTCATGACACCCACAGCTGCAGACTCTGTCATATCTTGACAGCAAAACTATCTCAGGTCTGAGAAGCTCTTTATACTTGTGACCCTGGCAGGAACCACACCAACTGCAATATCATCACCAGACTTCCAGATGTTGTGCCTTTTCCAGCTTCTTGCCACATCAAACTTCTCCTTGCAAACAACGGAGCAGTGTGGCCACTCAGCCTGGGGGTTGGCCAACTCTGATTAGGCCTGGATGGCCCAGGGTTCTCATCTATGCAGCAAAGTTGGAAGCTTCCACAGCAGGGAGAAGCCATTCCTTCTGCAATGAACATCGCTGATGGACAGGTTTCTGATGCTGAAGTCTATGCTGTCATGAGGCAGAACTTTGCTGTAAGCAAAGCATTTCAATAGAAGTTGCCTCGGTCGTTGTTTTGACTTGGAAAAAGTGACCACCAGATCTGCACCTAGAGTACCAGTCACCACTTGACCCATGGGGACAGCACCAATTGTCCTGGAGGAGTGGACACCTCTGTCCTGTCGGTTTCACGCAGTCGGTTTCACGCAGTCGGTGGTGCACTCCCACAGCACCAGCATTCTCATGGTGATGTTAGCACACAGCTCCCGCATTTTGTCACCTGAAAGTGATGCCAATGCTACTGTGTGGGTTATGGTAACTTTTTTTTTTTTTTTTTTTGAGGCAGAGTCTCACTCTGTTGCCCAGGCTGGAGTGCAGTGACGCAATCTCGCTCACTGCAACCTCCATCTCCCGGATTCAAGCAATTCTCCTGCCTCAGCCTCCTGAGTAGCTGGGATTACAGGTGCATGCCATCATGCCCAGCAAATTTTTGTATTTTTAGTAGAGACAGGGTTTTATCATGTTGACCAGGCTGGTCTTGAAATCCTAGCCTCAAGTGATCCACCTGCTTTGGCCTCCCAAAGTGCTGGCATTCCAGGCGTGAGCCACCGTGCCGGGCCCTATGGCAACTTTTTAAAAACATACATGGGACTGCTTTGGTGGCTTCCTCATGTTTCTCCTGGCTCAGTGGAATCTGCTTTCTAACACCAGCAATGAATTGTTTCACACCCAAGATGTAAGACAAAGAGCACACTCTAGGTCTGCTAATGCTTTGCATTACCTGCTGCAAATTCTTCAGTGCCACAGCCACAATCAGGAGGGCCGGCCCCAGATGTGCGTGTGCTCATGTTTCGGGTAAAGTCTCTTCCGTATAGTGTTCTGAGATGTGGTAGGCCAAATAACAGCCCCCAGAGATGTCCATGCCCTGGTCCCTGGAACCCTTTACGTAATACAACAAAGGGTGCTTTGCAGATGTGGTTAAGGTTATAGATCTCAAGATGGGGCAATTATCCAGAATTAACTAGGAGGGCACAATCTATGAGCTCTTAAAAGTAGAGAACTGGCTGATGTCAGAGAGATGAGAAGACAGGAGAGATTCAAATCATGAGAGGGACTCCACTCACTGTTGCTCGCTTTGAAGATGGAGAAAGAGGCTAGAGTCAGGGAATGCGGGGGTGGCCTCTAGAAGCTGGGAATGACCCCGCTGATGTCAGCAAGGAAATAGGGACCTCAGTCCTACAATCACAGAGAACTGAATTCCACCAACAATCTGAATGCTCAAGGAAACAGATTCTCCCCTCTTGAGCCTCCAGAAAGGAATGCAGTCCTGCTGACACCTTGAGTGTAGTCCAGTAAGACCCATGGAGAACACATTTCAGATATCACATCTGTAGCTGGGCCCAGTGGCTCGTACCTGTAGTCCCAGCTCCTGAGGCAGGCGTTAGGGAAGAGGGGCTGAGGCAGGCAGGAGGATCACTTGAGCCCAGGAGTTTAAGTCCAGCCTGAGCAACATAGAAAGACCCTGTCCCTAAAATAAGAAAAAAAAACCACACACACAAAAGATAATACATTTGTGTTGTTTTAAGCCACGAAATTTGTGGTATTTTGTTACAGAAGTGATAGTGTGTCCGGAATTGGTGGGTTCTTGGTCTCACTGACTTCAAGAATGAAGCCGCGGACCCTCGCCGTGAGTGTTACAGTTCTTAAAGGCGGCGTGTCTGGAGTTTGTTCCTTCTGATGTTCAGATGTGTTCGGAGTTTCTTCCTCCTGGTGGGTTCGTGGTCTCGCTGGCTCAGGAGTGAAACTGCAGACCTTCACAGTGAGTGTTACAGCTCATAAAAGCAGTGTGGACCCAAAGAGTGAGCAGTAGCAAGATTTACTGCAAAAAGCAAAAGAACAAAGCTTCCCCAGTGTGGAAAGCGATCTGAGTGGGTTGCCACTGCTGGCGCCTGCAGCCTGCTTTTATTCTCTTATCTGGCCCCACCCACATCCTGCTGATTGGCAGAGCCCAGTGGTCTGTTTTGACAGGGCGCTGATTGGTGCATTTACAATCCCTGAGCTAGATACAAAGGTTCTCCACGTCCCCATTAGATTAGTTAGATACAGAGTATGGACACAAAGGTTCTCCAAGGCCCCACCAGCGCAGCTAGATACAGAGTGTCCATTGGTGCACTCACAAACCCTGAGCTAAACACAGGGTGCTGATTGGTGTGTTTACAAACCTTGAGCTAGATACAGAGTGCCGATTGGTGTATTTACAATCCCTGAGCTAGACATAAAGGTTCTCCACGTCCCCACCAGACTCAGGAGCCCAGCTGGCTTCACCCAGTGGATCCCGCACCGGGGCTGCAGGTGGAGCTGCCTGCCAGTCCCACGCCATGCGCTCGCACTCCTCAGCCCTTGGGTAGTCGATGGGACTGGGCGCCGTGGAGCAGGGGGCGCCGCTCATCGGGGAGGCTCGGGCTGCACAGGAGCCCACGGAGGCGGGGGAAGGCTCAGACATGGCGGGCTGCAGTCCCGAGGCCTGCCCCGTGGGAAGGCAGCTAAGGCCCAGCGAGAAATCGGGTGCAGCGTCAGCGGGCTGGCACTGCTGGGGGACCCAGTACACCCTCCGCAGCCACTGGCCCGGGTGCTAAGTCCCTCATTGCCCGGGCCGGCAGGGCCGGCTGGCTGCTCCCAGTGCAGGGCCCGCCAAGCCCACGCCCACCCGGAACTCCAGCTGGCCCGCAAGCGCCGCGTGCCGCCCAGGTTCCCGCTCGCACCTTTCCCTCCACACCTCCCTGCAAGCTGAGGGAGCCGGCTCTGGCCTTGGCCAGCCCAGAAAGGGGCTCCCACAGTGCAGCGGTGGGCTGAAGGGCTCCTCAAGTGCCGCCAAAGTGGGAGCCCAGGCAGAGGAGGCGCCAAGAGCAAGCGAGGGCTGTGAGGACTGCCAGCACACTGTCACCTCTCAATAGGAGACGAATAATACACAAGGCATCCATGGTGGTCGCTGAGTACTTGCTGGTCTCAGACTCCCACATGGAGCCATCGGTGGGGATCCATGTTCCTGTTTAGCTGTTAATTTATGAACCAAGTGTGTTTGGAAGCCCTTTGCACATGAGGGTTTATGAGGACCCTCCCGGGTTTAACTGGCTTTTAAAAACTACAGACCTCTGATCTGGGTTTTCTCCTTACTAATCAGAGTACAGGATTCTGTGTGCCTTTCGCTTCTCCTCTATACTAGACTCAGCATCAAGAGGGCTCTGGCTTTGTCCATCTCCCCTGATTTTACCCACACATTACAATGGGTGAGCCCTGCCAGCAGGCAGTGAGGTGCAGGGGAGGGGAAGGGAGGGCACTGGACCCTCTTTAGAAGACAGGTGGGTCAAAAGCACTTAGTTCTCCAAGACCCACAGCATCTCAGGGGGTGGGGCCCTCACATCCCCCAAGCCTCCTTCACAGGTTGTTGTCAGGAAATTAAACGAGATCATTTATGTAAACATTCTCTCTCTCTAGCTTTCTCACTCTCTTGCTCTCTCTCGCCCTCTCTGTCTTGTGTGTGTGTGTGTGTGTGTGTGTGTGAATTCTCTTTTTATTTGTTTAAATTTTTAATGAAATGCAAACTATTTACAAAAAAAGTATACAACTTGCAATGACCTATTTCAGAGTGAATAAACTCAGTATCAAAAATAGAACATCTTCAGCACCCCCAGATGGCCCTTTCCTGCCCCCACATCACTACCCCCAACTCTAACCGCTATAACCACCCCCATCATTACTCCCAATTATAACCACTATAACCACCCCCCATCACTACCCCCGACTATAACCACTCTGGTCTTCTAATGCCACAGATTGGTTTTGTCTGTTTTTGTTTTGTTTTGTTTAGATAACTATTACATAAATAGAATAATAACATATAATCTTCTGGGCCTGGATTCTTTTGCTCAACTTCATGTTTGTGAGGTACATCCATGTTGTTGTGCATATCTGTCATTATTCTGAATGTTTTAAATACAAAACAATAGATAAAATTGGGCTTTCACTATACAGTTCAAATGCCATTTAGGATAATAATTTCTTCCACTTATCTTAAAAGCTACCAGCAGGAGCAATGAATTGTTTGTGTTTTAAACATATTCATGTAATAGATCTAAAATTCTTTACTTTCTGCAAAAGAAATGGCAAGGGAACCATGATTTGTCTGTATCATCATAGCCTGTCAAGTTCTCCAGGTGCCTAATGGGCTTTGTCTGAATGTCTCTTGCCTGCTTCCCTCCCACAAGTCCTGGGGAGGGCCCCTTTGCTCCAGGCAGTCCCTCCCACAAAGAAGCATCCCTGATTACCCTAAGAACAGACAGGAGAACCATAACAGTATCCAATCTTAGATGCTGTTTTTAATCTATATTTATATAGCTGCGAAAATTAGCAGGGCCATGCCATCCATCTCCAAGGGAAATATAAAGATTAAACCGAATAGGAACAGTGTAACTACCTGCTCACATCAGAGTCTACCATCCAGTATAGTTATGAGGTCACTAAAATTAATGAAACTTTTCTTTAGCTAATGAAATAGCCTGTGGCGAGATCAAATACCAATGAAATTTATTAACTTCTAATCTAGGGAGCGGGAGAGCCAAATCAAATTTTACATGCTAATGTTTTCTGAAACAAAGCAAAATCAAAAGCCTCAGCAAAAAGAAATGAGACATTTGGAAGCTTATCAGTAGGCTGCCAACATTGCCTTTCTCTTTTTTTTTTTTTTTTTTTGAGACGGAGTCTCGTTCTGTTGCCCAGGCTGGAGTGCAGTGGCGCAATCTTGGCTCGCTGCAAGCTCCGCCTCCCGGGTTCACGCCATTCTCTGCCTCAGCCTCCTGAGTAGCTGGGACTACAGGCGCCCGCCACCACGCCCTGCTAATTTTTTGTATTTGTAGTAGAGACGAGGTTTCACTGTGTTAGCCAGGATGGTCTCCATCTCCTGACCTCGTGATCCACCCATCTTGGCCTCCCAAAGTGCTGGGATTACAGGCATGAGCCACCGCGCCCGGCCTGCCTTTCTCTTTACCCTCACATCATGCACTGTGCCTAACTGTTGTACCTTGTCGTGTTCTGTGTTAGGAAAGGAATCCCACGGACACTATAAAAAATTCTGTAAAGGAGTAAAGTGCCTAGGACAGATATAATTATTACCTAGCTGGCAATTCATGAGAATAGCAGACAGGTTTTCAGCAGAGAGAAGGCAGATTGATGGCAGCTTGGATGAGCGCAATTCACAGATGCTGTGTTGGATATCCAGGAGCAGGACGCCGGCAGCCAGCACTTTCCCCAAACATTTGTTACTTCATTACCTAATTTCTACTCACCTTTTATTATATTTGCTCTAGAAGTCAATGCACTCTTGTAGCAATGACTCCAACTCAGTGACTCTTTTGTAAAACAAATTCCAATCAGTGGCAATATTTGAAGAAATGAGAATGTAATGATACTGACTACAGACCTGACACTAGAGAAACACGAGACTCTCTCCCAGGGGCATAGCAACACACACTGGGGCCCGCTGGTCCCACAAACTGGTAATTTAGCCCAGCAGATGCAACAAGGCCACTTGGAAACACCAAACTGCATGATCTTGGCTCCTGGCCCAGCTGCTAATTTGTTGAAGGCAGAAGTGACCCTGCGAGCCATTCAAAGGTGTATGTTACTTTGAGAGGAGAAGTGGAAATATAGACTATAAACTGCTCCAAGAAAAAAAAATCAGATGAGAGAGAAGGAAAACTTCTATGCTGTGACAGTTTATTTGTAAACAAAACATCTAAACATATGACTCTGGGAGCTCCCTTTCTTGTGGATCTCAACCACAGATAGTGTACAAGAGATAAGTATATTTTGGAGTTAAAACTGACAGCTTCCATCTCACACCTTTGGACCTCTTTTTATTATTGTTTTCCATTCCAGAATGTTCATGGTAATTTGAATGAACATGGGTTCTGGCTTTCAGATTTTGATTTCTGATGTCTGCCACCATCCCTCCTGAGCACTGTCACCAGATTCCTCTGTGGAGAACAAGGCAACCTGCACCCTTCCACTGACACAGTGGAATCTCTCCACTCGGAGAAGCGCAAGCTTCTCTGCCAAGCACACAGGACCCTTCGCAACCCAACACCACATCTCCCTCCAGTTTCCTTAGTACACCCTCACATAAACCCTTTAGCCTAGCCAGCCAGGCCCCTTGCTGTGTCCCCTGCAGATCATGCATGGTTCTAGGTCTGTTCCATTCCACCCTCCTCACTAGCCTCAATTCTACTGCGTTCTGATAACCTTTTGTAACGCAGATGTTATTCTCTCTGTCCACGGCGCTCCTGGGGCCAGGCAGGCAGTGTAGAAGCATGATACACAAAAAAGGACTTTGTGTTTTAGGGTGTTCCAGGGATCAGACTGGACCAAGGGAGACAGTCACCCAGGATGAGTAAAGAAAAAAATCGAAATCCTAGCCAACGAGTCACACGAGGGCACAGGAGTCTGAGAAGTGGCACTAAGCTTCAGGTCCAAAGGGTGGAAGAAGGCACAGCCACAAATCCCCTAGACACACGGTGGGACTGCACACTGCCACCGTCTGCCACATGGGTTAGGTGTGGCCACAGGTCAATGAAATTGGAAGTGGTAATCCTGAATAAATATTATTTCTCTTTGCTGTTTTGCTTTGTTTTACAGAATATTGGTGCATACCATTTCACTTGATTTCCTTTCTCCGTCTAACTACAGTTGAAAAATTTATTTAGTATTTGGTCACTCCTGGCCACAAGGTATAGACTTCCTTTATTTTCATAATCTCATGATATTGAGTGACAGTATTTGAGAGGAAGAATCTGGTGTGAGCAAGGAGCTCCGAGTTCTTGGGTTAATTCTGTGAGTGGAAATGGCATGCACCTCTTTTTTGTTTAATTTATATAAACACTTTTCTTAAGAATACTTTGATTTGAAGAAAAGTTGCGAGGATAGCATATGGAGTTTCCACATGCCCCTCCCCCAGTTTCTCCTACTAGTAACACCTTACATTTTCTGGCTACCTTTGTCATAGTTAAGGAACCAACTTTGGTGCATTAACTAAAGTGCACATGTTACTCAGATTTCACTAGGTTTCCCCTAAGGTCCGTTTTCTGTCCGGGGTCCCATCCAGGACATCACATTGCATTTGTTTGTCATCTTTTTTTTTAGCCTCCTCTGGGCTGTGGCAGTTTCTCAGACTTTCCTCATTTTCGATGACTTTGACAGTTTTGAGGAATCCAGGGCAGGTATTTTGTAGAATATACTTCAATTTGCGTTTGTCTGATGTTTTCACCATGATTATCAGACTGAGGGTATGGGGTTGGGGTGGGAAGACCACAGAGGAGAGACGCCCTTCTCATCACATCCCATTAAGATCCTGCTACCAATATGTCTCATCACAGATGCGTGTAGACCTTGGTCACTGGGCCGACGTGGTGTTTGCCTGGCTTCCCCATTGCGAAGGCCCCCCGCTTTATGAGGGGAGTACAGTAGGGCACAGCGCATTCTGAGGGCTGGACAGTTAACCCATGCTGCCTTTGTATCTGTCATCTGGAATCCTTCCACACAGGAGGTGTGTCTCTCGGCGCTTGGGCCTCTCTGGGATGAAAGTTTTAAGTGCACACGAAGGCTTTGCCAAGCTCTCTCTTCCTGATGCCATGATGACTATGAACAGCAGCTCCGTGGCCTGGATCCAGAGGGAGGACAATGACACCGTGATGTATAATGTGAACAAGAAATAAATCTTTACTGTTTGAGCCATTGAGACTTTGGGATATTTTTTATGGCACCATAACTTACCTTCTCCAAGGAAGGGTAAAGCAAGGTTATATTCTCAAGGGCAGTAGTCAGGAGGGTGGGGGCCATGAAAGGGACAGTGTGTCTATTAATGGTTTACGACTAACGCTGGAACACAGCCATACGTGGGAGGTCTGCTCTGATATGACGTGGCCTCCACAGACTGGGGTCCAGATGGCACTAAACCCTCTTCCAGAGTGCAGCTTCTCCTTCCAGATCTCTCCTAATCACTGCAACACACATTAGTTTTATCACACTTCAAATCTAAAATAAAATCATCTCCCCTCAATCATAGCCAGTGCCTCCTCCTGACTTTGTATTTCTGCCCCTGGTGCAGTTATCTTCCCTTTCCTGGCTTAAAATCTTAGTGTGATTGTTGAGCACAGCTTCTGCTGTGGTCAATCATTTCTAGAGATTCCACCCACAATGTGACATTGGCACTCACCTTTTCATTCCCATGCCCCCCTCTCTCGAGCTCAGAGCCTCCTCCCCTTCTGTCTACACCACGGTGACAGATCCTGACTAATCTCCTGCTCTCTCTTCACCCTTCTCTTCTCCTCCAGGTATCTGTTTCTAAACTGAAGACCAGATCAGTTCTTTTTTCTATGTAAACTACCTTCTTGTTCTACCACTGGTCTTCCATAGTCTGGTCCTTCCTCATCTATCTGTCCAGTCTTATTTCCCATGAGTCTTTCACCTCAATTCCACACGTCAGATATCCCTGTTAGATCTGTTTTCCACGTACTTGCGATTCTTTGTAATAGAGTTACTCTTCCTGTTCTGCCTTAACCTCTTGTCTCCTTCTCCAAGTGGCAAGTTCTGGCACCTCTTCAAGATCCGGCTCAAATGTCATCTCCTCTATGAAATCTTTACTGACTTGTCCTATTCCAGGCAAAATTAATCATTCCTTCTTCCTTTTTCAATTTAGAAAAAATCACATTCATTCTTTAATGTTTGACTCAAGAAAGACCTCTTATGTTCCTTCTTTCTGTATTAGTTTGACAGGGCTGCCATAATAAACACCACTGACTTGGTGGCTTAAACAACAAAAATGTATTCCTCACAGTCCTCGAGGCTAGAAGTGTGAGATCAAGGCGTTGGCAGGTTTGGTTTTTTTCTGAGACCTCCCTCCTTGGTTTGCAGATGGTCACCTTCTCCTGTGTCCTTACATGGTCTTCCCTCCATGTGTGTCTGTGTCCTAATCTCCCCTTCTTACCAGTCCTACTAGATCAGGAGCTACCCATATGACCTCATTTTACCTTAATTACCTCTTTAAAAATCCTGTTTCCAAATAGAGTCATACTCTGAGGTACTGGTGGTTAGGACTTCAATGTATGAATTTTGAGGGTGCACAATTCAGCCCAAAACATCTTCCTTCCTTCCTTTTCTCCTTCTCCTCCTTATCCTTCTTCTCTTTCTCCTTCTCTCTCTCTCCCCCTTTTTCTCTTTCTTTTATATAAAAAAGATAAATTGATCCCTGAACTTTCAGCAGGAATAAAGAGCAGTAAAGACTTGGCCCTCGTCCTCAAGCAGTATCTAGTCTCTCACAGGGGACAGACATGGGACCGAATAAGCCCAAGCTCCCTTCAGAAGAAGCCAACAGCCTCTGTGGCACTCTCTCAGGGCCCCATGCCCCAGGTTCCAGTGCAGATCCAAGCATTGTACTAGAGTGCCTCGTCTAGCTTCCTGTCACAGGGAGAAATTGTGAGCTTCTGAGGTCAGGGCCACCTTAGTCATCTCCAAATTTACAGTGCCTTGAAATGTACCTGGTACATAATAAATGATAAACAAATATTGGTTGAATTGAACCCAAATAAATTGATATTATATTTTTACTCCTGAAGGGTTTTTTGCTGATGGATTAACTTTTTCATCAGACTTAAACAAGGGACAAGTTTCTTTGTTAAAGTCAGCAGCTCGAAAGTGATCAGTTAGATGGCATTTTGCAATTCTTTTTCTTTTTTTTAGAAACAGAGTCTCACTCTGTTGCCCAGGCTAGAGTGCATGGCTCACTGCAGCCTTGACCTCCTGGACTCAAGTGATCCTTCTGCCTCAGTCTCCCAAAATAGCTGGGACTACAGGTGTGTGCCACCATGCCCAGATAGTTTTTTTTTTTTTTTAATTTTTTATAGAAACAGGGTCTTGCTATGTTCCCCAGGCTGGACTTGAACTCCTGGGCTCAACTGATCCTCCTGCCTCAGCCTCCCAAAATGCTAAGATTACAGGCATGAACCACCCGTAATTTGCTTTTTAAACTGATAAAAATATAAATTAATATCTTTGAAAAGGCAATGTTTCTACAATTTTTTTGGGAAAATGACTTCTGAGTTTCCTTCTATTTAGGAATCTCTCAGGTCTTTCCCACTGCAATAAGTTGTGTATATAAAAATTATAACTGCAATAACAAATTAATATTAGTTGCATTTTGATGTGAACCAAAAATAAAAATAAGCCTCATACTATGTGAAGGTGATAAGCAAGGAGAATCTTACAAAGACTTGAAAATATTTTGAGAAAATAAAAACTGCAAAATTAGAAGCATTCAACTTAATTATTACATAAAGTTTAAACAACTAATGAGTAGTGTTAATGGTCCGTTCTAGTTTAAGGTTACTGGTGACAGTATTTGTAACTGGCTGTTGGGTCACGTGAATGATCTACCATAATTGGCAGACAGAAAGTCCCACTTTCCTTTTACTTTGGAGACTAATGGTAATTTTCCCCCAGCCTCATCTCTATCTCCTGTCTTGGAGTGAGGTTCTGTAGAAGGTCTGCGTGTGACCGCTTGTGGCTGTCGGTGCCTTGCTGTAGCCTTCGAGGTGGAACCCAAGCTGGGCGCTGCAGGAGAGGAAACAAGGCCTCACTGAGGGGCAGAAACCAGGAAGCTGGGCCAGCCACGCCCTGAAGACTCTGCTCCTCTCTGTAGAAGTAGAGACCAGGTGTGACTTCCCATGGGGTGGGGGTGGTGAGAGTTGAGACAAACTGTCCCTGAAAGTGAAGAGGCCCCAGGCGGAGCACCTTGCACTCTGGAAGAGTGACACAGGACCCACTGGAACTAAAACTGTAATGTGATGAGATGTTGTCAAAGCAAAGTAACAACAACAATAAAAATACTAGTAGGCACTTACATAGCACTATGAGCCGGTGTTCTGGCAGATTTACTTATATATTAATACATTATGAACTATGTTTTTGTTTAATAGGACACACTTATCAGTTGCAAAAGACTACTAATGCCTACATTTTTCTGGCAAGATGTCATTTTCCATTAAGGCTCTATAAGGCTGGGTGTAGTGGCTCACATCTGTAATCCCAGCACTTTGGGAGGCTAAGGCAGGAAGATCATGAGCTCAGGAGTTAGAGACCAGCCTAGGCAACACAGCAGGATACTGTCTCTACAAAAAAATCAAAAAATTAGCAGGTCATGGTGGCTCCTGTAGTGGCAGCTACTCTGGAGACTGAGGTGGGAGGATCACTTGAGCCCGAGAAGTCAAGGCTGCACTGAACTATGATGGTGCCACTGCACTCCAGCCTGGTTGACTAAGCAAGATAGTGTTTCAAAAAAAAAAAAAAGAGAGAGAGAGAGATAGAAAGAAAAGGCTCCTTTAAATCCAGCCTTCAGCAGATGAGGGGGCTAAAACGGGCATGCCTTATATTAAGAGGGCTATTAGGGATTGCCCAGAAAATCTTTTTTTTTAAGCTGTTTTTGCCACATAATTAAGCTCATAAAATTTTCTTTAAAGAACCAAATAGGTTATATAACCAAAAGCCAAAGTCAAGTGATTCTTATGAGCAAACAACATATAGTTAATCCACAAAATTATTTTGGGACCTCACACTGTTATAAAGTTTTTCCTTACACAGAAACAAAAGCTTCTTCCCATAACATCCTTCTTTATTCTTTATATCTCTTTCGACAGCTCGAAGTGTGTTTGGTCCTCTGAGAAATCTCTGACCAAATGCAGCAGTCATTTGCCCTGGGTGGTGCCTTTCCTCTTTACTAAACCTAATCAATTCTTCTAACTCTTAATTATGTGAAATGTATATAGAGTATATGTTTATATAAAATATATGTATAGAAATGTGTACTGTGTAGTTTAGCAGTGGATGCTGTTTGCATGGTTACACAAGTACATGATGCATTGATAATTCATACACAAGAAGTTCTTTTGGGATGGACTCTGGTAGGCGGAATGGGAATACGCTATACAGCTGATCTTTGAACAACAGGGGTTTGAACTGCATAGGTCCACTTACACACAGATTTTTTTCTATACGAATTACACAGACTGCACTGGCCTCTCCTGCCTCCCCTTCCACCTCCATCACCTCTTCTGCTTCTGCCACCCCTGAGACATCAAGACCAATCCCTCTTCTTCCTCCTCCTCCTCAGCCTACTCAACATCAAGGCGAAGAAAAGGAAGACCTTTATGATGATCCACTTCCACTTAATAAATAATAAATATATTTTCTCTTCCTTTTGATTTTCTTAATAATATTTTCTTTTCTCTGGCTTACTTTATTGTAAGAATACCATATATAATACATATAACATACAAAATATATGTTAATTGGTAAGGCTTCTGGTCAACAGTAGGCTATTAGTAGTTAAGTTTTGGGGCAGTCATACATGGATTTTCCACTGCGTGGGGGTGTTGGTCTCCAAACCCCACATTGTTTAGGGGTCAACTGTACTGGCAGTGCTGGCCTGTTTTCTCCTTGGGGTACAGTCAGCATGCATGTCATTATAGTTTTACTTTCTCCCAAGTGTATTTCATTGCTTCAGTTTTTTGTCTTTGGTTTGAATTTCTTTTTTCATCAGAATTTATAGACCATCTGCAAAGCAGTAACTTTGGAGGGATTACAATGCTTCTATCAGTCAGCATCCCAGCTGGAAAGAGATGACGCACTCAAAGGGGTCACTGAACGGACTTAAATTGACAGACTATCTAGAGAAACCAGCACAGGATTGAGGAGACTGACAAGCTATGGTAAAGCCCCAGGAATCAGCAACAAGGGAGGCCTTTATCACCCGTCAGCCTGTTGGGAAGTGGCAGGCAGGGGACAAATATGAGAACTCAGAGATCTGGCTGTGAAGAGGGGCTGCTTGCAGGATCTGAGACTCTAGAAGAGAAACAGATTTCTCTTAGGGAAGGAGCAGGCAAGAAACCCCCAACCTCTCTCCACCTTTTCCATCTCCCCAGTTCCTGCTGCAGACCAAACCTTGTGAAAAGCAGAAATCTAAAAGATGAAGGGGGAAGAAGTTAGTCTTCCAGGCCACACAGCAGGGTCAGTAGGGGTCTGGAGGGGCAAAGAGAAAATCCAGGTCTGCACAAAATGCAACGAGAGAAGCATAGTTTCTCAGAGAGCGGGCACTGTGCACTCTGCATCTTTTCATGACCGTATCTAGTGTCTAGTGCAGGGCTTGACACCCATGACATTCTCAACAAGGGTCTTACTGAATCCGCGAACAGATCAGAAGTCAGTTGTTCCTGAAATAGAAGGCATTGTAACTGACAACAGAATACAAATGAACTGTGGCTTTTTAAAACAACCACATATTACTATTATCTAAAACTTACTCTTCTAAACAATGTCTTTATTAATCAGCTAATATTAAAGGAGAATCTGATAACTCTGATTTTTCTTTCCATCAACCTGTCCTTAAGCTGCACACAGAAAACTGTCTTCAGAAGGGAGTTTCTGATGTTGTTAAGCACCTAAAATTTGTGTAAGCAAATAAAAGAGCAAAGCCCTCCTAAATAGAGTATCAAGTTTGCAAGACTTGGCCACGGGAGGCCAATTCCAGTTCTAGTTCTGATTCTACTGCTTGTGCTCCCTGGAGTAGGTTACCTATACTCTGCATGCCTCCATTTCTTCAGCAAAAATAGGAGTAATAGCAGTACCTGTCTCTTAGACACTCATTTCTATTAACTGTCCTGCCTTCACCAAACGCTATTATATAGCACACTGCATGTTTCAGTCAGTCAATAACTTCTATTGCTTCCAACAACTCAAAATATCTTGTTTTAATCTGTCATTGTTGGTTCTCTCTAATTGATCCCCTTGCCTGGTTACTAGAATCTACCTTTCTGTCTAGCTTACATGAACTGACACTTTGGCTCTGTTCTTTAGTTTTGGAGATTGTGATTAAAATAGGGATGCCAGATAGAAAACAGAATTTTAAAATATAAATAAAGACAGGTAATACAAAGATAAAATACAAAGTAAAAAAACTTTGAATTTCAGAGAGACAACTGATAATTTTTTTAGTATACCTATATCCCAAATATTGCATGGCAACCCTAGATTGGAGGGCACCTCTGGAATCACCCTTAAGTTCAGGATTCAGCACCTCTCAGCTCATCCCATGCCACGTTCTCACCCTTTCCTAGAGCAGCCCTGGGTCTTGAGTACAAATTCAACAACTTAGCTCTTCTTGGAGGGATGTTTAAGTAAATACTGCCCCTGGGAAGTAAGTGATCATTTCCCCTTACTTGAGCCTTGGCATAGATCTACAACACTAGGATACCTATGCCAAGGCTCAAGTGAGGGGAAATGATCACAATACCATAGATATCCTGGTTCTCAATATTGGATGTGTAGTAATAGCAGGATATACTGTATGAAAACCAGTGGCGTGATTCAGATTTAATGGTCACCTTTTGCTCTCTGAGGATCTATCAGAATTCCATCTTCGATGTCCTGAGAGAGAAGCTTCCTCTCCCATCTCTTTTCAAAAAAATGGGCTCTGTTTGCTTTGTAAATGTATGAAAAAAGGGCCAGTCTTCCAGTTTCGGGTCCGATAAGGACTGTTGAAATCTGAAAGGCCTTGGCCAGGTTAATGACATGGAATTCTGAAGACACTACCTAGAATCTTATCAAATTCAAAGCTAACTATAAATTGTTATTGCTTTCTAAAATCCAAGTATAAGCCTAAGTGCCTTTGAGGGAGAATGGGTCTGTCCACCTGGAGGAGAATGGAGGTAGATGCTGCCGTGCGCCCCACAAATCCAGTGGGACAGTTCCTGGCTGACATACGGGAACTCACTGTTTTCATCTTCATTAGCCATAGAAATCTGCCCTAACTGACTGCATAAAGGCGATTGAGCTGGTTAGCAAATTCAAATTCAATAAGGCATCTGGGGAAGATACTTTCTGCCACTCAAAGCTGTTTTTGAAGTTGTGGGCTCTAATTCTTATCACTGTTAACTCTGCAGGAATAATTTTACCAATCTTATTGCAAAATGTAGCCCATCCTTTTTTTTTTAAGGGTAATCCCTTACTCCCTCCTCCCCGACCCTCTCAGTTCAGACTCTTCCTCTGTGTTTACTTTCTGAATGTTAATAGGAGTTGGATTGTTGAGGCCAATATTCTGACTGCAGTGGCCATGAAGATAACTGGTCCTTCTACAACCAGACATTGTTATGACCTCTGTCACATAATAATGTGATTAGTCCAAAAGTCCGTCTCCCCTCCCTCCCCCTGCCCTACCCACAAACACTGTGACCAGAGCGAAAATCCCTACGTTCTTTGGATAAGCTGAATGCACACCCTCTATGCCTTTTTTTTTTTTTTTTTAAACGGAGTTTCGCTCTTGTTTCCCAGGCTAGAGTGCAATGGCGCGATCTCGGCTCACTGCAACCTCTACCTCCCAGGTTCAAGTGATTCTCCTGCCTCAGCCTCCCGAGTAGCTGGGATTACAGGCATGCACCACCATGCCTGGTGAATTTTGTATTTTTAGTAGAGACGGGGTGTCTCCATGTTAGTCAGGCTGATCTCGAACTCCTGACCTCAGGTGATCCACCCGCCTCAGCCTCCCAAAGTGCTGGGATTACAGCAGTGAGCCACCGTGCCAGGCCCATGCCCTCTATTTTTTAAAGAATATAAGACAAGTTTCTAATCTCCATTGACAATCATTTCATTTCATCCATTTCATCCATTCAAATCCCCTGGCTCTGCCATTTTTCTAGCCATTAGTTGAACTTGGACAAGTAACTTAACCTCTTGAGTTTTCTCGATTTTCAAATGTAGAAAAAAAAATTAACTTAGAGTAGCCTTAAGGCTTAAATAAAATTATTTTAAACACTGTCAAGCACATACTGGAGGCTAATACCCAATCATGGTTGTCACCGCTGAGCTGTGAACTCACTCAGTTGGGATGGCAGCCCCATCTCCCTCTAGGGAAGAGCTTGCAGCCCAGGTGGGAGGAGAAGATGGCTGCCAGGCAGCCATGTGAGCTGAGGCCATGCTCTTCCCAGCCAGGTAGCCCCCAGCCAGTCACCTAGCAGTGCAAAGTACTAGGGCTTGGTTACCCCTGCCCAATGTGGGACTTCTCTGAAAGGCAGCCTGGCTCTGGACTTCTCCTTGGATTGATAAGAGACTCCCACATGCGTTACCACCAGAGGTTGCCCTGTCCAGCCTACTTCCTTCCCTTTATCTTCCCCAGACATCACACCCCTCTATAAACCTTTTACACCCCTAACTCCATCTCTTTGCCCACTCCCTAGAGAACTCCACAGTGAGGAAGTTTCCCCAATGTATATCACTCTCAAATACAGGTTCACTTGGTGATGGTGCCCAGCACTTCTGGGAAGGAAATAAAGACAATTGGATTGGATTACAGTTGGCCTTGGAACAACACAGTTTTCAATTTCGAGGATTCACTTATACTTGAATCTTCCTTCACCTTTGCCATCCCTGAGACAGCAAGAACAATCCCTTCTCTTCTTCCTCCCTTCATCCTACTCATTATGAAGACAATGAGGATGA